>NC_000002.12:192338102-192641133 GCF_000001405.40 Homo sapiens | reverse complement strand
TCTGTGGGTTGCCTCTTCATTTAGCTGATTGTTCCCTTTGCTGTACAGAAGCTTTTTTTTTTTTTTTTTTTTTTTTTTTTGAGACGAATTTCACTCTTGTAGCCCAGGCTGGAGTTCAATGGTGTGATCTTGGTTCACTGCAACCTCCGCCTCACGGGTTCAAGTGATTCTCCTGCCTCAGCCTCCTAAGTAGCGGGATTACAGGTGACCACCACAATGCCTGACTAATTTTTGTATTTTTTTTTTCTTTTTTAAGTAGAGACAGGGTTTCATCATGTTGGCCAGGCTGGTCTCGAACTCCTGACTCAGGTGATCCACCTGCCCTGGCCTCCCGAAGTGTTGGGATTACAGGCGTGAGCCACTGGACCCAGCCCAGAAGCTTTTTAAATTGATGTGATCCCATTTGTCCAATATGCTTGTGGCTTATCACTCAAGAAATCTTTGACCAGTTCCGTTTCCTGGACAGTTTCCCTGATGCTTTCCTCTTAGTAGTTTCATAGTTTGAGGTCTTGTATTTAAATATTTAATTCATTTTGATTTGATTTTTGTATATGGCAATTAGTAGAGGTCTAGTTTCATTCTTCTGGACATGGATTTCCAGTTTCCCCAGCACCATTTATTGAAAAGACTATCCTTTCCCCGATATATGTTTTTTGGCACCATTGTAAAAAATGAGTTTATTGTAGATGCATGAATTTGATTCTGGGTTCTCTATTCTGTTCCATTTGTTGATGTGTACGTTTTTATGCCACTGCTGTGTGATGTTTCAGTTACTATAGCTCTGTAGTATAATTTGAAGTCAGGTAATGTGATTCCTCCAGTTTTGTTCTTTTGCTCAGGATAGTTTGTCTATCTTTTCGTGGTGACATATAAAGTTTAGAATTTTTTTTCTATTTCTGGGATGAATGTCACTGATGTTTTGATAGAGTTTGTATCGAATCTGTAGATTGCTTTGGTAGCATAAACATTTTACCAATATTAATTCTTCCAACCCATGAACATAGAATATCTTTTCATTTTTTGTGTCCTCTTCAATTACTTGCAACAATATTTATGGTTGTCATTGTAGAGACTTTTCACTTCTTTGGTTAATTCCTTGGTGTTGAGTTTTATTTGTAGCTATTATAAATTGGATTATTTTTAAATTTCTTTTTCAGATTTTTTACTGTTGGCATATAGAAATACTACTAATTTTTGTAAGTTGGTTTTGTATCCTACTACTTTACTGAATTTGTTTATCAGTTCTAATAGTTTTTTGGTGGAGTCTTTAGCTTTTTCCAAAGATGAGGTAAGATCATCTGCAAATGTTAATTTGACTTCTTCTTTTCCAATTGGATGTCCTTTATTTCTGTCTCTTGTCTGATTGTTTTAGTTAGGACTTCCAGTAATATTCTGAATAACAGTTGTGAAAGGGGGCATCCTTGCCATGCTCCAGATCTGAGAGGAAAGCCTTTCAGTTTTTCTTCATTCAGTATGAAACTAACGATGGGTTTGTCATACAGGATTTCCTTGCGTTGAGGTATGTTCCTTCTATACTAAGTTTTCTTAAGGTTTTTATCATGAGGAAATTCTAAATTTTATCAAATGCTTTTCCAGCATCAATTAAAATGATCGTATAATTTTTGTACTTCATTCTGTTCATATGATGTATAGCATTGATTGATTTGCAGGTGTTGAAGCATTCTTGCATTCCCAGGATAAATCTCATGATGAATTACCTTTTTATGTGTTGTTGAATTTGGTTTCCACTACTGTATTTTGTTGAGGGTTTTTGCATCAATGTTCATCAATAATATTTAATTTCCTGTAGTTTTGTGGATTTTTTGATGTGCCTTTTTCTGGTTTAGTTTAGGTATCAGTATAACACTAGCCTCATAGAGTGGGTTTGGAAGTATTCTCTCCTCTATTTTTGGAATAGTTTGGGTAGAAACGGTATTGGTTTTTAATTGAATGTTTAGTAAAATTCAATGGTCAAGCCACCAGGTTCCAGGTTTTTCTATGCTAGGAGACATTTTATTACAGATTCAATCTAGTTACTTATGATTGGCCTGTTCAGGTTTTGGATTTCTTCATGGTTCAACTTTGGTAGGTTGTATGTATCTAAAAATTTATCCATTTCTTCTACGTTTTCCAATTCATAGAATATAGTTGCTCAAAGTAGCCACTAATGATCCTTTTAATTTCTGCAGCATTAACTGTAATGTCTCCTTTTTCATCTCTGATTTTATTTATTTGGGTCTTCTCTCTTTTTTCTTAGATATTCTGGCTAAAGTTTTGTCTATTTTTTATCTTTTACTTTCATTGATCTTTCGTATTGTTTTCTTCATTTCAATTTTATTTATTTCTGCTTTAATCTTTATTACTTCTTTTCTTTTACTAATTTTGGATTTTGTTTCCTCTTGCTTTACTAATTCTATAAGATGCATCATTAGGTTGTTTATTTGAAGTTTTTCTCGTTTTTTGAAATAGGTGTTAAAGCAGTAAACTGTCCTCTTAGTATTGCTTTCACTGTATTCTATAGTTTTGGGTAGTTTTTTTTTCTTTATCATTGTTTTAAGACATTTCAAAATTTCCTTCATAATTCCTTCATTAACCCACTGATCATTCATAGCATTTTGTTTAATTTCTATGTGTTTGTATAGTTTTCCAAATTTATCTTGATATTGATCTGTTTATTTCATTGTGGTCAAAGATATTTGATATTACTTCAATTTTTTAAATGTTTTAAGACTTGTTTTGTGGTCTAACATATGGTCAATCTTTGAGAATGATCCAAGTGCTAAGGAGTAAAATGTGTTTTCTGCAGCAGTTGAATGAAATATTCTGTAAATATCTATTAAGTCCATTTGGTCAATAGTGCAGAAGAAAACTTGTTTCTTTGTGGATTTTCTATCTGGACAATCTATCTAATGCTGAAAGTGGGGTGTTGATGTCTCCAGTTATTATTGTATTGGAGTCTACCTCTCTCTTTAGCTCTAGTAATATTTGTTTAATATATCTGTGTGTTCCAGTGTTGGGGAGCATACATATTTACAATTGTCATAAACTCTTGCTGAATTTTCCCTTTTATCATTATATAATGGTCTTCTTTGTCCCTTTTTATACTTCTAATTTTGAAATCTATTTTGTCTTATATGAATATAGCTACTCCTGCTCCTTTTAGTTTTCTTTGCATGAAATACCTTTTTCCATCCCATTATTTTCAGCCTATGCAGATCTTTATAGGTAACATTTGCTTCTTGTAGGCAACAGATCCTTGAATCATGTAATTATTATTATTATTTTTTCTCCAATCAGCCATTCTGTATCATTTGATTGAAGAGTATAGTCCCTTTACATTCAATGCCAGCATTAATAAGGAGACTTACTCTTTCCATTTTGTTGTTTGATTTCTGGTTGTTTTGTGATCTTCTCTTACTTCTTTCCTTCCTTCCTGTCTTTCTTTTAGTGAAAGTAATTTTCTCTAGTGCTTTGTTTTAATTTCTTGCTTTTTGTGTGTGTGTAATCTCTTGTATTTTTTTTACTTGAGAAAAGCATAAGCCTTACAAATAATACCTTAAAACCCATTATTTCAAACTGATAACAATTTAACACTGCATACACAAACAAACCAACAAACATGCAAGGAGTATGCTTACCAAAACCCTACAATTTATTCCCCAGCTTTTAAATTTTTTTATTGTCTCTATTTGTATCTTATGTACTGTCTCTGACTTTTAATGTTGTTGTAGTTATTATTTTTGATATGCTCATCTTTTAGTCTTCATACTCAAAATATAAGTAGATTACATGGTAATCATAGTATTAAAATATTCTATTTTTCTGTCTACTCACTATCACCAGTGAGTTTGTACCTTCAGATGATTTCTTATGCTCATTAACATCTTTCTATTTCAAACTGAAGAAGCACCTTCACCATTTCTTGTAGGACAGGTCTAGTGCTGATAAAATCCGTCAGCTATTGTTTGTCTGAGAAAGTCTTTATTTCTCCATCAAGTTTGAAGGACATTTTTTTTGCCAGATACATTATTCTAGAATAAATGTTTTTTTTTCCCCTTCGGCCTTTAAATATGTCATGCCACTCTCTGACAGCCTATATGGTTTACACTGAAAGTCTGCTGCCAGACATAATTGGAGTTCCATTGTATGTTATTTGTTCATTTTCTCTTGCTGCTTATACAATTCTTTCTTTATCCTTGACCTTTGAGTGTTTGACTACATCTTGAGATAGTCTTATTTGGGTTAATCTTCTTAGTTTTCTGTAACCTTCTTGTTCTTGGTTATTGATATCTTTTTCTAGGTTTCAAAGTTCTCTGTTATTATCCCTTTAATTAAACTTTCTTTCTCTCTCCCTCTATCTCCTCTTTAAGTCCAATAACCATTAGATTTGCCCTTTTGAGGCTATTTTCTAGATCTTGTAGGCATGCTTTATTCTTTCATAGTCCATAATTTTTTGTCTTTTGTGACTGTGTATTTTCAAATGGCCTGTCTTCATGCTCAATAATTCTTTCTTCTGCTCTATCAATTTTTCTGATAAGAGACTCTGATGCATTCTTTAGTATGTCAATTGCACTTATCAACTCCAGAATTTCTGCTTGATTCTTTTTATTTATTTGAATCTCTTTCTTAAACGTTTGTGATAGGATCGTGAATTCCTTCTCTTTGTTATCTTGAATTTCATTGAGTTTTCTCAAAACAACAATTTTGCATTCTCTGTCTGAAAGGTCACTTATTTCTGTCTCTCTAGGATTGATCACTAGTACCTTATTTATTTCATTTGGTAAATTCATGTTTTCCTGGATGCCTTGATGCATGTAGATGTTCACTGGCATCTGAGCATTGAAGAGTTAGGTATTTATTGTAGTCCTAACAGTTTGGGCTTGTTGTCCTCCTGGGGAAGGCTTTGCAGGTATTTAAAAAGACGTGGGTGCTGTGACCTAAGTTTTTGGTCACTGCAGCTATCTCTATAATAGGGAGCTTCTTAGGCCCAGTAACACTGTGGCTCTTTCAGACTTGTAGTGGTACTGCCTTGGTGGTCTTGGATAAGATCTGCAAGAATTATCTGGTTTTCCATGCAGATAACTCTCATTTGCTTTCCTTACTTTCTCTGAAACAAATGGAATGTGTCTCTGTTCTGAGCTGTTTGGTGCTGGAGGAGGGGTAAACAAGCACCCTTGAGGTCACTAGCACTGGGACTTCTGAGACAGACCTGCAGCCAGCACAACACTGGGTCTCTCCCAAGGCCCACAGTAGTCACTGGCTGGCCACTGCCTATGTTTTCTCAAGGCTGTAGGGCACTACAATCAGAAGAAGGTGAAGCCAGCTTAGCTAGTGTCCTTCCCTTCAGAGCAGCAATTTACCCCCAACACTGAGATGCCATCCTAGAGCCAGTGCCTGGAGTCTGAAACCTCAGGAATCTACTTGGTGGTCTATTTCTACTGCAGTTCACCTGGCACCCAAGTCTAAAGACAAAGTCTCTTCCACTCTTTCCTCCCCTTTTCACAAGCAGAGGAGCCTCTCCCCATGACCTCCACCACAACAGGCCCATGGCAAGTATTGCTGGCTACCTGTAATATTTACTAAAGGCCCAAGGGCACTTCAGTCAGCTTTTGGTGAATGTTTCCAGGCTTGGGACTCTCTCTTTAGGTCAGTGAACTCCCGTCTGGCCCAGGGCAGATCTAGAAATGCCATCCAAGAGCCAAATCCTGGAATCAGGGATGCCAAGAGCTTGCTTACTGATCTACCCTTCTGTGGTTGAGCTGGTATCTAAACTACAAGACAAAGTCCCCTTTACTCTTCCTTCTCCTTTCTTACTGATCTATCCTTCTGTGATTGAGCTGGTATCTAAACTGCAAGACAGAGTCCCCTTTACTCTTCCCTCTTCTTTACTCAAGAGGAAACAGTTTCTCCCTGTAGCCATTGGAGGTGGAAATGTTCTGGGTCACACCTGAAGCCAGTACATCTCTGAGTTTGACCCAAGGTTCATGGTGAGTATTGCCTGGCTACCACTGCCGATTATTCAGGGCCCAAGGGCTTTTTAGTCAGCAGGTGATCAATTTTTCCAGGACTTGGTCCTTCCCTTCAAGACACAGGTTTCCCTTCAGGACCTGAGTATGTCCAGAAATGTCATCTGGGAGCTGTGACCTGGAATAGGGCCCCAGGGCACAGTCTGGTGCCCCCTTCTCCTGTGGCTGAACTGGTATCCAAGTTGCAAGACAAAGGCTTCTTTACTCTTGCCTCTCCTCTCCTCAAGCAGAAGTAAGGACTCTCTTTTGTAGCTGCAAGTTGTACTCCTTGAGGTTGGGGAGGGATGATGAAGGCACTCCCTTGGCCACCCCAGCTGGTGTCTCTCTAGGTCATGTGCCCCACCCGGGTCCGCTGGCTCCAAGCCCAGAACAGCACCAGGACTTGTCCAGGAACTGCAGTCCTTGTGGCCGTGACTGCCTTTCAAGTTTATTTAGACTCCTAAAGCTCTTTAGCCAATGATGGTGGGGCTTGCTGGAACTCAAGCTCTGACCACTGGGATAGCTGATTCCTCTTGGCCAGGGCTGGTCTATACACTTCCACTGTGGGCACTGGCTAAGTTCTTCCTGGTGTTGATTTCCACTGTGACAGGGCAGCATTGAGTCCCAGTGCAAAGTCCCAGAATCACTGTACTCTCCCTCCTCCAGTACACAAATTCTCTCTCATCACCATATGGCCACTGCTGGAGGATGGGGGGGATTGGCCTTGGCAATTCAAAACTGTCTTTTTTACCCTGTTCAATGCCCCTTTCAGTGATATGAAGTTAAAACCAGGCACTGTGATCTCTGACTTAATTTTAGGCTACTGTAAAAGCGCTTTTTTTGTGTGAATAGTTGTTTAATTTGGTGTTCCTATGAAAAAGGTGATCAGTGGAGGCTTCTAGTCAGTCATCTTGCTCTGCCTCCAGTCAATTGATTTTTGACAAAGGTACCCCAAACACACAATGGAAAAACGACAGTCTCTTCAATCAGTGGTGTGGGGAAAACTGGATATTCCTACACAGAAGATTGGATTAGACCCTCATCTCGTATAGTATACAAAAATCAGGCCAGGTTTGGTGGCTCACCTGTAAGCCCAGCACTTTGGGAGACCAAGGAGGGTGGATCACCTGAGGTCAGGAGTTTAAGACCAGCCTGGCCTACATGGTGAAATGCTGTCTCTATTAAAAATACAAAAAAGTTAGCCCTGCATGGTGGCAGGCACCTGTAATCCCAGCTACTCGGGAGACTGAGGCAGGAGAATCACTTGAACCCAGGAGGCAGAGGTTACAATGAGCTGAGATGCACCATTGCACTCCAGCCTGGGCAACAAGAGGGAGACTCTGCCAAAAAAAAAAAAAAAAAAAAATTGAAGATTGAAATGTAAGATGTGAAAATGTAAAACTACTAGAATAAAACATAGGGGAAACACTCTATGACACTGTTCTGGGAGATGATTTCTTGCATATTACCCCAAAGGCATACGTATCAAAAACAAAAATAAACAAATGAGGTTACATCAAATGAAAAAGCTTCTGCACAGCAAGGGAAATAATCCAAAGAGTTTAGACACTACCTATGAATGGAATATATATTTTCGAACCATACATCAGTATGTTGAAGAGATAACTACACTCTTACATTTGTTGCAACATTTTTCACAATAGTCAAGATATAGAATCCACCTAAGTGTCCATTAATGTATAAATAGGTAAATAAAATGTGGTATATATACACAATGTAGTACTATTCAGACTTAAAATAAAATAGAAAATTCTGTTATTTTTGACAACATGGATGAACATGGAGGACATCGTATTAATTGAAATAAACCAAACACATAAATGCTGAATGACTTCATTTATATGGAAATTCTTATTAAAAAAAAAAAGTTTACAGCTTATAAAAGTAGACAGTGAAATGGTGGTCACCAGAAGCCGGGGGGTGGGGAGACTGGAGATATGTTGGTCAAAGGAGACAAAATTTCAGTTAGGTAGGAGAAATAATTTCAAGAAATCTGAAATATATCATGTAACCCATAGTTAATAACAATATGTTGTATACTTGAAAATTACTAAGAGAGTAGATTTTAAGCATTCTTATCATAAAAAATAAGTGTGTGAAGTAGTGAATTTGTAAACTAGCTTGATTTAGCCATTCCACAATGTGGAGAAATATTAAAATATCATGTTTTGTGCCATAAATATATATAAATTTTGCTTATCAATTTAAAAAGCAAATACATTAAAAATGTGATTAGTTCTTACCGAAAAAAACGTTCATCACAATCCCTAGAAAAGTATGTTTGTTGGAAGAGTATAATGAGTAGTTTGCTGGATAATGCAATACATCTTACAGTTCTTAATGACACCATTAACCTGGTCATTAGATTTAACTCAAAGCTTGGATTTTAAGTGAGTAATTTCAAATTTTTTTCAGAGACATTAGTCCCATCATTATGAAATATCTCTTGTGAAATATCTAAAAATTTCCCTGAAAGAAAAATGGTTGATTTTATCATCATCTAGATTCATTTATGAGTCAATTTTTTCATTATTTGCTTTTCCTTCTTTATTATTATACCTGGGCCATTCTGAAATCAAAAGCAATTAAAAATGCAATTTGATTGGACTAATGAGTTCATATTGTGTATTGAAAAGTTTCAGTGAAAGTAATATATCAGTGATTGGAGATAATAGTGGAATAAGCACCACTTGGTGTGACTTTTTTATGTTTTCTAAAGTTTTGAACAAAGACTTCAAATTTGTGTACTCACTATATAATTAAGAATACACATGTACTTTTTTTACAAAAAAACTTTCAAAACTTCTTATGTGCCCTACAAAAACATTGAAATAGAAATAGTTTTCTAACTTCTTAACACATGATAACAATCAGAATGTCTTTGAGAATGTGGCTCAGTTCTTCTCTAAAGATGTTCCTGAGTGGCAAATACTCAATGCCTTCTATTTTGGGGGGAATTTCAACATTACATGGTAAAATATCAGAGATTAGACAGTGGTTATTGTTTATAAAAATAGACAAGTTTGGAAGTAAGAATTTAATATTTTGCAGGGAATTCATGTCCCAGAAAGCATAACCACAAAGAACAACTTTCAAAAAATTGTTAGAGTGGTCAGCCACTCTAGAGGGGCTCTCTTTTGTTAAAGTTGTTTTATTTTGTTAAGAAGATCTACAGTGTAAATTGAATTCTTCTATGACAATAGAAAGCGGCATGCCTTTTATTTTGAAAGTAAGTGCATAAACAATTGTACAAATCTTGATTTAAGTGAATAAGAGAGACATCAATGAAGTACCCTGAGAGGTGTTATTTAAACTCATATTACAGGGTTCTTTCTTTTCCCACCTCACTCAATAGCTGTGACATTTGTTACCTAAAGTTACTTAAAAGTTTGTTTAGCCTCTTCTCTTAATTAAATTTGTCTTACTTTTTCATCAGAACATTATAAAATGTAATATTCTATTGTAAATCCTTGACAATAGAAGAACCATGAAAAGGTCCGATGACAATTATAATTCCAAACCAAAGTCCCTTGTCTTTGAAATGTCCCAGAGAAATAAAGAATATTTGAAAGTGTATTATAACATATTCAATGATTAGCAAACTTTACTCAAAATGTTAAGTAAGTTTGACCAAAACAAATTTCCTCCAGCTCATGGTAGTGAATATGATCTTTTAAGAACATTCACAAGACTAAAGTTATTTTTTACACTTGTGTCATGAAACCGTTCAAGCTTAAGAGACCCTCTCCAAAATAAAAATAAGAAAAACAAAAATAACAATAACCACTCTGCTAGTTCATAATGACACTTGATAAACATGACACTAAAATTTACAAGGTTTTCTTTTGCTAGGAATAGGAAAGACAATGCAGTAATTGCATATGCATCGCATTGTGTTATGCCAAAAATAATGTAGCAAGAATTGCCAAAAGTTGCCAGTGCCTGTTATATCTCTGCTTGCTAAAATTCACTCTTGAGTTCTCAACCCTATCATTCACTCGTTTCCCCACTAATCAGAAATCTGAATTTCTGTTTTATATTTATAAATTAATAAAATATTTCTCTCAATTTCTCCTCTTCCCATCCAACTCTTTTTTAGCCATTCTCTCTTTGACAGTTACTCTCCTACTTCCAGATCACTACCCACTGATTTATTTATCTACTCCTATAAGGCCTTAGCTTTTGGCATTAACAGACTCTGCCATTTGATTCTTGGCAACATTTTGGATGTTATTTGAGCCCATTATTTCCATTGTTCAAATTTTCCTCACTTTCCTGGTTTTCCTAGCACCACTTTGTCTGGTCTTCAGTCTTCTTTACATGTTTTTCTTATATCAACTCTACAAAAATGGTAATGTCTCTTGTTATTTATTCTAAGCTCTTGTCTCCCCTCACATTATACATTAAATCTGGCAAACCAATATGCTGTAATGGCTTTAATTCTCAGCTATGAGCTGTGAATGCACACACCTTTATCTCCATAATAGTCCCACATGTTTGCCTGACTACTTTTCCTCTCCTTTTGGATGTTTTAGAAACGTTTCAAATTCAACATGTTCAAATCTGGACTGTCATTTTCCTCTAAAGTGTTATTTATTTAAAGCCATATCTATTTACACAAGCCAGAAACCTGTAAGTTAAGCTTGTCTCCTAACTTGTCTGCATTTCTTTTAAACACTCATTAAGAACAAATATATCTTGAATAATCTACTTTTCTGCATATTCACAGCTACCTCCTGCCATTTCTCTCCTGTGATCTTAATTGGACATAGAGTTTTTCTCTCCACCTGTCAATAAGAAGACAAAGATTTTATTTTGTCACATATAACTGTTTCTTAAAATCTTCATACTAAGGTTCAATTAGTTGAAGATCACTTACAACACCTTCCTCTACTCATAGTCTAAGCCAGGCTGCTTCTCAACACTGTTGCATTGGGGATTAAATTTCCAACACATGAACTTTTGGGGACACATTGAAGCTATAGCAGTAACCAAAAGACAGCAGGGGTGGCTATACTAATGTCAGACAAAATTGACTTCAAGTCAGAAAAGATTACAAGTGATTCATATGAGACTGACAAACTCATACTTACCAATAGAAACTGTTGATATAGCAAATGTAAATGTTGGTAAAATGTTTCTCATGCTTGAAATAATCCATTCTGATTTTCTTATTTCCATGATTTGCTTAAAATACGCGTTTGTTGTATTGCAGAAAAAAATACAAAAGATAAATCAGTGATTACATATTTACAAATTTTTTTTTTTTTTTTTTTTTTTTAGACAGAGTCTCCCTCTGTCACCCAGGCTGGAGTGCAGTGGCACGATCTTGGCTCACTGCAAGCTCTGCCTCCCAGGTTCACACCATTCTCCTGCCTCAGCCTCCCGAGTAGCTGGGACTACAGGCTCCTGCCACCACGCCCGGCTAATTTTTTCTATTTTTTAGTAGAGACGGGGTTTCACCGTGTTAGCCACGATGGTCTCGATCTCCTGACCTCGTGATCCACCCACCTCGGCCTCCCAAAGTGCTGGGATTACAGGCGTGAGCCACCGTGCCTGGCCTACAAAAATGTTTAATGCAGCAAGAAAATATGACAATTTCAGGCATTTACACATAATAAACATCAGATTAGCAAATAAATAGAAAACTTGAATAACAAAATAAAGCAACTAGATTTATCAGACATACACAGAGCTTTCCATTCAACAAAATCAGAATACACATTCTTCTCAAATGCACATGCAACATTTTCCAGGACAGATGTGGAGAAATTGGATTTCTTGTGCACTGTTGGTGGGACTGTAGACTATTATAGCCACAATAAAAAACAATATGGCACTTCCTTGAAAAATTAAAAATATAATTACCATATTATCAAGCCATCCACTTTTGAGTGTATACCTGAAAGAAGTGAAGCCTGTGACAAATGTACATATGTACAACAATGTTCATAGCGGCAGTATTCATGATAGTCAAAAGATGGAAGCAGTATAAATGCTCGTTGAAAGATTAATGTATAAAGAAAATTTGGTATATACATACAATGGAATATTATTTAGGATTAAAAAGGAAGGATTTTCTAGCATATGCTACAAAATAGATGAATCTTAAATTATTCTAGTTGAATTAAACCAGCTTTGTCACAAAAGGACAAAATTCGAATGATTCTACTCATGTGAGGTACTTACAGTAGTCAAAATCGTAAATACAAAAGAGAGAATGGTAATTGTCAGAAGTTTAGAGGAGAGAAGAATAGGAAGTTACTACTTAATGGATACAAGTTTCAGTTTTTTAAGAGGAAAAATATTTTGGAAATGAATAGCAGTGATGGTTGCACAATAATGTGAATGTACTTGATGCTACTGACCTATATATTTAAAAATAGTTAAATGGTCAATTTTATGTTAAATACATTTTACCACAATTAATAACAAATAATTTTAATGTGATCCTTATGAATAAATGTTTTGTTAACTATTTTGAGCATTCTGTATGTTGAGATATTTTAATTAAGAATTAAAATTGTAAATATTTATAGTGTACAGAATGATTTTTTATACATGTATATATTGTTGAATATCTAAATCAAGCTATTTAATATATGCGTTGTTTCACACACTTGTTATTTTCTTGTGGTGAAAACACTTAAAAGCTACTCTATTGGCTATTTTCAAATATACAATATATTGTTATTAAACACAGTTACTATGATGCACATTAAATCTCATGAACTTACTACTGTTTAACTGGAATTTTGTGTATTTGGTCAACATCTCCCACTCCCCACTCTGCTTTGTGTATTAGTGTTTCATAAAGCAAACAAAGTCAGTTTTATCCTCTTCTTTCTAATACTGGTATTTCTGCAAACAATCACTTTCAGAAAATAAACTGTCAACGCAGCGGAAAATTTAATGAGAACACATCTAATGTTTATCAATGGAGCTAGAATATTCAAATTAAGCCTTATTATTGGGAAAATCCAATAAGAAAACCATTATAATAGTATTTTTTTCACACCAGGCAAAGGTAGCCATAGCATTCTTTTTTAAAATTTATTTTATATCCAAAAAAAGTGGTACATAAACTCTCTTTAAAGTATACTAAAAACAATACTAAAATTAGGCAATACATTGAAAATAAGTTAATGTCATAAAATAAATATTTTAAATGATATAATTGTTTTTAATGAATACACCATGAATTTGGCTTACTTACAATAAGTAAATGAAATATCTCACAATGATAAAAAAATTTTAAGAACTGAAAAAACTTTTGAAAGTAAAACATAGCTTCATTGTATTAAGAATATGAAAATCCATTCAAAGTCAATTAAATCTGCTTTTTCTATTAATATTTAAAATAAGAACAACATGCTATTACAATGCAACATAGTAAGCTGTTAATAATGAATTACGATTATCAATAATGGAAACCTAAATGGTTTCAAACAATAAACAGTTATTTTTACTGATCCATACATCAATAAATATCCATTATTTTGTTAAATGATTTTAAAGTTTTAAAATTTTTACACTTTAAAAAAATGTGTAATAGTATTAATCTTCAGTATATGGCTAAAATTAGCACAGATAAAATCGCAAAGTTTTTTTTTTAGTTTCTCAACTAAATGGGAAGAAATTAATTTTCTTACCTTTCAGACAAATCTCTAAATATTTCCCTCTTAGTAGGAAAAATATCTATACCAGCTGTATAACTTTGGGGTGTATATTTAAGTTTACTATATACTTTAGTTTCTTTGTCAGTAAATACATATCTAAGTTTACTAAACTTAATTTTCTTGTCAATAGATATATATTTAAGTTCACTACACACAAATGTAATTGTCAGTAAAGTGGACATAAAAATAATGCCTTTATCACAAAACTTTAGGATGAAGGAATGCATGGAAAAAAGCCTTGGGGTGAAAGATAGTGTACCTGCTCAATCCGTGTAACTAGTAATAATGACTGTCATTTGCTGAGTATTGATACATGTCTGACAGTGTACTAAGTGCTTCACATACTTTATCTCATTTTATAATTAAAAAAATTATATAAATACAGGTACCATCATATATCCTAGTTCATGGAGGAAGATGCTCATTACTCAAAGGCTTGTGATCCAAGCACTCTTTTTTTCTAAGTCCACTCATGGAAATCCTAAGCTACATTGTCTTTTTGCATTATTATACAATACTGTTTTTACTTTTAATTCTGTGTTATTCAGAGTAAGGGAGAATGTATCCATTTTTAATCTAAATTTAACCTATAAGTTGATGATTCATTTTCAGTGTTTTACAAGTTTTCAAGGGGTTTGGTTTGGGAGAACTTAGATTTCTTTTTCCAGTCCAGTTCCAGTGGCCCCAAAGTTAGTAAAACTGGCACTTAGTTTGATTGCTTGAAATGATATTCCACGCTTTCAGATGACTTTTACCAGTTTGGTGCCTTAGATATTGAATAGGGAAGTTGAAAAAAAACACTTCTCAGTGATTCCTATACTAAATCTAAATTAATCTAGATGACTTAAATTATCCTAGTATTTTTACTTATATATATTTCATAGGAAATATATTTTGACTTCATTTTATTGAAAATATTTTTGTTCAATTTTTGTTTATCTCTTTATGTGGCTTCTTCTATTTCTTCATAAATGTGAGTCTGGCGTCCCTTCTGTTTTTTTTTTTTATTATTATTTCTCTTCTAAAAACATTATTGTTGTTGTTGTTTTTCCAAATTTTATTTCTCACTACCAAAGTTACTAAAAGGTGGAGCCCAGTAAGGCCTGATTGCATCATGGAACAGATCCATCATGACTGGTTTATTACCATTGCCTTGGTGAGAAGTGAGGTCTTACTTAGTTAATTATGCAAGATCTGGTTGTTTAAAACACTGGGACCACACCCGCCACCTTCTCTTTTTCTCGCTCCCTCTCTTTCTCCTGCTCTTGCCATGTGACATGTTGGCTCCTTTGTCACCTTGTGCCATGATTGAAAGCTTCCTCAGGCCCCTACCTGAAGCCAAGAAGATGTCAGCACCATGATTTCTATAAAGTCTGAAGACCTGTGAGCCAATTCAACCTCTTTTCTCTATAAATTACCCAGCCTCAGGTATTATAGCAATGCAAGAATGGCCTAACACACGACCTCTTTTAACATTGTCTACTAAGCATGTTTTTCTACTAAGTAAATTTTTATTTTTCTTAGTTCTATAACTCCATGAAATCATTAAGTTTTCTCCTTAAGCTGGAAGCATCTATATACATATTTTTCTCATTTATCTCTCTCAGCAACTGGACCACAAATCTGAGTGGTTGCTGTACACATTTAAAAGGAAAAAAAATAGTGAATTTTTTGAGATACAGATGTTTTATTTAAATATTTATGGCTTTCTGTTATCTTTTTGAATGTGATGATAGACCAAGTGAAATAATTTTTATTAAGGTCATGATACATAATGAATGCTCAAGAATTATAAGCTATACTTATTAATATGATTATTTCTTTGTCTAATGTTTCATAGATCCATCACTATAAAACAAACCATCCCAAAATGAGTGTTATAAAAGAAAAACTAGTTTGATATTATCAAATACTCTTTGAAACAGGAATTTGGAGATTTCCATAGCAGGGATGTCTAATTTCTGCTTAATAATGTCTAGGGCCTCAGCTGGGAAGAGTTGAACAGCTGGTGATGACTTGGACAGTTGGGTAATGGAATATCTAAAGCCTTCTTCATGTCTGGAGCATGAGCTAGGAAGACTCAAAGGCTAAATTTAGCAAGGATTGGCTCCTGGAGCACCTATCTGTAACCCCAGAATATATCAGGGTCTTATAGGAGGGTGGCTGGATTCCAAAAGAAAAATCCCAAAGAAATTGTCCAAACAGCAAACATTCTAAGACATTACAGTAGAAGATGTAATAATTTGTATGGCATCGCCTTAGAAGCTACAGGGTGTTACTTTATCCTACACAATAGACACTAAAGTATGATTGTAGTATTTCTCCAGCATTCAGTTGGAAAGCCTGTTGATACATAGATTGCTGGACTTCACTCCCATACTGAGAAGTCTCTCAGATTCAAAGGGAAGTTATATAGACACCCAACTCTTGATGGAAAGAGAATCAAAGAATTTGAGAACATGTTTTAAACTTTTAAAGTCTGCCTCAACTATCTGCTCAATAATTACAATGGTAATCATATATTAACAATAAAATCTAACATTTCACATTGGATTCAAATGAAACATTTAAAGATATTCACTTAAATTCTCCATACTTTATTTTTCTATTCAATGAAATAAATGGCATTAGATGGCCTAATATACCTCAACCCCTTCAATTTCTAAATGATATTACACTGTGTAGTATGACTTAGAAGGATTATTTATTTAAACATAATTATCAACAGCAACAAATGCTATTCATGTAAAATTCTTGTTCTAAAACACAAGTCACAATTTTATTCATAATCTCCCTAATATATAGATACCTATGTTCCTCTTCTACTAGATTTAGGGATGCTGCTTAGTCCTCCTGCCTTCATCCAAAATGTGGGATATTAGTGAACAGACTTTTACATTTTTCTCTTTCACTTTGGCCTTTTCACAACCATGCCAAACACATTCACATACACACAAAAATACTATTTTAAAGACTCAGTAACTTTCAAAATGTTTCTTTGAACAAAATGGTCTATTTTAAAGGACAATGTTATTGAATTTATGTAAATTAAATGCCACCAAAATCAATTTTATTTTGCTGGTCAGCTCTTACCCACAGCTTGCAATATATGAAATTAGCAAAAGGTAAACTGCCCTTGATACTCCCTGTGAAGGTCATGTTAAAGCAAGACACAGCTGACTTTCTTTACCTTCACAACAAAAGCAATAGGTAATCACACTTCTCTTAATGTTGACAACTCAAATACTGTTTCAGAGGGCTCAAAATTTCCACTTACAAATAAGTAGCTTGTGCAAAGTAAGAATAATTTGTGCCTAGTAAATTTTCCCCTGAAAGGGATTTTTCAATGTCTTATTTGTATCTATTTTTATCTTAAAGACATATTGAAAAATTGTTCTTAGCCTAAACAATAATTTTGCTATTTGTAAATGACAAAATAGAAATTTCAATAGTGTGTATTCATATTGTCATGAAACAATGCACATATTTGCTTATGTTTTAAGTTCATCTCTGATAATAAATGTACAAACGCTCTAAGATTTCTATTAATATAAAAGCTGAAGTTCAAAAGTGCAACATTCAATGGTTCAGGGTGGAGGAAGATTAGGATCAATGTTCATTCAAATATTTTCACAGAAATAAAGTTCCTCATATAACAATTTAAAGAAAATAGTTTTCATGGCATGCTCTCCCCAAAACTTTTTACATACTTTTTCTAATCAAAGAAACATTTTACAAAATAGTTTAGAGAAGGCTGCACATCCAAGTCAAAACGTACCATTCTCTGAAGTAAAAAATGGCCCTGTAAAATCAGAGATAACACTTGTTATAAATACAATATTAAATTAGTATAAACTCTTCTTTTTTTCGAAGATGGAGTCTTGCTCTGACACCCAGGCTGGAGTACAGTGGCACGATCTCAGCTCACTGCAACCTCCGCCTCCCAGGTTCAAGTAATTCTCCTGCCTCAGCATCCCGAGAAGCTGGGATTACAGGCGCCCGCTACCACACTCAGCTAATTTTTGTATTTTTAATAGAGACGGGATTTCACCATGTTGGCCACGCTAGTATCGAACTCCTGACCTCGTGATCCACTTGCCTCAGCCCCCCAAAGTGCTGGGATTACAGGCGTAAGCCACCACGCCCTGCCTGGTATAAACTCTTGCTACAACATTGATGCACTTGCTAGATCTACATCGTCATTCGCTGGATCACTTGCATGCTTAGATATTACAAAAGATAATAGACATTGAAATTGCTATATTTTGGGTCTGTATATTAGTTTACAACAATATGATTATATTTGTCTTATTTTCTTCTGCAGTTACTCACATTTGTTTATTTTTTTCCTATCAGTTTGCTTAGTAATTCTAAAGCATTCATTTGGAGGGCCTGTTGAAATACAAATCTCTGGGCCCTGTAGGCGGAGTTTCAGATTTCGTTGGTCTGAAGTGGAGCCTAAGAATTTGTATTTCTAACCAATTCCCGAGTGGTGATGATGGCATTCCTGCAGCCAAACATTGAGAAAAATTGTACTATGGTACACATTTTATTTATTTATTGGGGGTTCTCAGATGTTCTTGATTCTTTGAATTGGTGTCTTTCAACAGTTTTGACAATATTTTGGAATTGCATTATCAAATATTAATTGTGCCTCCATTCTCATGACTACTCTCTGGACCGTAACTGTATGTTTGGTAGAAATTTTCCCAGTGTCCTATGTCTCTTCTGCTCTCTTTTTTTCTATTCTGTTTTTTTGTTCTTTGTGCGTTTTAGTTCGTGTATTTTCTATTAATCTCTCTTCCATTTGGTCATCCTGTGAATCTGAAGCCTCCTTTCTTTCTCTAACTTTATTTCAATTCAGGGGTACATGTGCAGATTTGTTAACGGGTATATCACATGATGCTGAGATCCGGAGTACAAACGATTCCATCACCCAGAAAGTGAGCATAGTAACCAAGAAGTCGTTTTTTAACTCTTGCCTCCCTCCCCACTTTAATAGTCCCCAGTGTCTATTGTTTCCTTAAGGTCCACCTGCACCTAATGTTTAGCTCCCACTTGTAAGTAAGAACACGTGGCAATTTGGTTTGGCTCTGAGGGAAAAGTGTGCAGCCCAGGTTGTCAATGACTGTCCTTAAGAAATGAAGTATTCTATGTCTCTTGTTTTCAGTTCTGATTCTGAAATCTACAAAAAAAAAATTCAAACACAATGGGGAAACTTTTAGTCCAATATTTATTATAAAAATATTGTTTGTTTTAGTGTTATAAAACTCATGTATCCTTTGGGTAAAATTTACAAGACAGAAAATATCATAAAGAAAACAAATCAACCAAAAATTGCTATTGAGATAACCATTCATAAAAATTTGACTCTCTAAGTGGCCAGGTTTCTGAACACTAATTATAGAAATAGCCATAATATTTCACTAATTTAGGGGACCTCAGTTAGGTTATGTTCATTTTATTCTATTTATCTTTTCACATTCAATTAATGTAGCTTAAAATGTTACTTATATCTGAAATATAAACATATTCAAAGAAATCATGTAACCAGAAAGCGATAATAGTTTATATTCTCTTTGAGTAATTAGTTTATTGTCTTATTTATTTATTTAAAACAAAAATGATGACATTGATCCAATAGCTAAGATTTTCAACAATAATGAATGTTTCCTTTGTATCCATATATGCTATTTAAAAAACTTATTTCACAAATCTTTAAAACATAGTCTGAGGTATTATTAAATTATTGATAACATGAATTAAATTAACCCTGAAGAAAGTATTAATGAGAGTAAATAGTGTGCTCAAGGACACAGTATTAAGGGAAAGAACCAGGATTTCTGTCTGTAAAAAATCTTCCTTAGGATTTTCAATTCCATGGTAATAAACTGCCATTCTAAGATTTTTGAAATAAATATTTTTGAGAAGCGTGATTCAAGTAATATATTTCTGGATTGTGTGTACTGCTGTATACTAACATATGAATTATCTATGTTTACAATTGAGAAATATCTTGGTTTTCAGTTTAGTTTTATTTTTCAGTTTTTTTTTAATTATCAGAGGCTATATGTTTTTCACGTGAGATTTAATATATACTTAAATTTTATTAAAAATTACTTACAAATACATTTTATTCCTACAGGAGAATATTATTTTCTAAAATGAAATTATGAATAGAAAGTTAACTCTTTCCCAGTAAAGCTTATCTACCAAAAAACTACAGAAAACATCATAAATTTCAAAGTTCAAGATGCATTTTTTTTAAATATTGTAAAGAACACAAGATTCCTGGTACTTGCTATTTTTTGTGCAACAATGTGTTCAAGGTCTAAGCTAACAGAATAAGAGGACACAAAGGAAAAAAATGAGAAATATTAAATTTGGCAATGAACAAACTGTCATTATTTTCAAAACATTTGATAACAAAACATGAGAATCTGTAAGCAAATCGTTTAAATAAAACAAGTTTACTGAATATAATATGAACATAACCATTGTAATATTTTCTATATAACATCAATAAACAGACCTCCTAATCTGAAAACTTATTAAAAAATAGTAACACAACTAAGATAGCAAAGAATACTATAATTGTAGAAAAATACAAACAATATAAAAGTACTTCGGTCAAAATTTAAAATATGAAAACGTATTATCAATAGTTTAGGAATCTGTCTATAAAGGTAGAAAAATGAATAAGATAAAATTCCCAAGGGAAAGAGATGGAAGATAGAAATAGGTTTAACTGAACTTGATTTGGGCGACAGGTGAACAGATTTTGGTTATATCTTACACATATAAATAGATCTGAAATATTTAAATACAATGTCCTTTTAAAATTCACCAAAAAAGAGAACACTATATCTGTGATGGCCATTCTTTAATAATGGAAATGTCTAAAATAAAGAAACAATGTGGAATTATGAACCAATAGAAATTGCTGATAACTCTCTCGCTCGCTCGCTCTCAAAATAGGCGTGTGTGTGTGTCTGTGTGTATACACACATACCTCAATGAAATGAAAATATATATATGTTAATTTTAATCATATTTCTCTCTATATATATTTTCATTTCAATGAGATTTCTGAGGCAAACATGTTAGGAACTAGGGACTAGAGAACAAAGGTTATTTAAAATTATTCTAAACTGAATTCTGAATGCTAACCATTTTGACTTAAAAATAAGTATTGCCATAGTAACAAGGTTCTGGAAATTTTTAAATTTTAACATTAAAGTTTTAACTAAATCCTCCTTGATTGACTTCATCTAAATAAAGGACACCTATCTTTGATCCTTCAAAATCTTGTCTAAGTGTTAAAATTGAAGTTGTAATGATAAAAGCAATGCTTTTAGAAAGGTACATTGTTAAGCTGAGTGGTTCAAATCTGATCTAGCAAATCCTGAACATATATGTTTTGAAACTTGAAATATGCCTTAGTTTCTTTCATCAAATTCAAACGACATATGAAAGAAATTATAATAAGGTCTTAAAGTATTTTTGTAACTTTTAATAGTGGTAGAAGCTTAAGTTAACATGACTTAAACAACATATGTCGAGATATTTAATATAATCAGCCTTTCAGGACTTGGTCTCATGTTTTGCAATGAAATCCTGATGAGAATGCTTCATGGCTCATATTTATAAGATTTCTATTTTTACATTGTCACACTAAAAAGGATTAGTGTTCATGTATTCTTTAGATCTTATCCTTTTAAATGATCTTACTTTTATAATTATTTGTGGATGCACAGTATCTAAATTGTATATGTTCTTATATACATTTATCTCTAAATTGAAAGTTTAAAATGAGTACTTGTTAAAAAATACAAATTCCTTCTCATTAATAAAACACTTAAACATACACATTTGTCTGCATTTTAATGTTTCTTTTATTTTTTTTCTCATGCTCTTCAAAAAACTTTATTTATTCTGCTCTGAAATAGTGATCTTGGAAGTAGTCATCATTTTGGAGAGACTTCCCTGAATATCTAGGTTTGAGGAGTCTAAGGCGGTAAGAGCACTTCATCTGTGTTGTTTTTGGTTTTTTAAACTATTGTGTAGCAGCCACTTACAGTGAGTCTAATTCACTTTCAGAAAACTTAAGCAAAGGCCACTTTTAATGGGAATCTAAATCTTGCCCAATTTTCAAATTGCCTTGTTCAACTTATGTGTCTCTGCCTAAATTTGTAAAGGAAGTATTGCCTTTTAAGTATTTCAGAGTACCTTTAAGATTTTTTTTCTTCAGAAAACTGCCTGCACTCTAATTTTATGGTTAATTTATTTCTCATAAAAACTTCAAAGTTTAGAATATAGGGATCCATTTTGTCTTGATTTGTGGGTGTTTACTTACATTAATGATAACAGAAGTCTTAATTTGCACTTTGTGATTGCAGGCTCTTGGTTCCAAATTCATTAGCAAGTATTTTTAACGAGGTTGAACTACACAAAAAAGATGTAATGGTCACAGGGCTTTCCAAATTGTTAAAACGTTCAGAGTCCAACTTTGAAGTTAAAAAAAAAAAAAAACTGTGTGGTTCCAAATTACAATAATGTTCAATGCTACGCTGCTAAATTCTATTTTTTTTTTACTGCAAAGTACCATTTTATGAAAAAGAATATGTATAATATTATTAAAAATTCTATCGATTATAGGATGGGACAATATTAAGGAGTAATTTTGCTTTTTAAATTATACATATCTACTTTTTAAATAAATTATGAGCACTAATCATATAGTCTATGGTATAATTAAAATTACTTAAAGATAAAATATAGGACACTTAAAAATCAAATGTATTATATCACACATACACTGACAAATGCACTCCTAAGGAAATATATTTGGTCTGCTTATGTAGGTGCACTATTGACTTATAAATAAAATGGTTTATATATTTTAATATCTTCTTTGTGATTTGATTCAAAATCACATTTATTTCAAAGGCCTTCTTACATTTTAATGTTAACTATTTGATAACAAGTATATTGACTTTTTATTCCTGACATCTTTTAATACATCTCCCTCTTGTGTTATGACCATTGGGAAACTTGAATGGAGCCTACCTTATTTAAAGGATAACATTTAAAATGTTTCTCTAAAATGAAATTATGAGAAGACAAAAGTTTTAATAATCTTATAGATTTTTACTGATGGAATTACATCTATCGCCTTTTAACTCATCTCTAAATGTAAATCTAATTGATGAAGGATGAACTTAATTTGATTAAATAATTGAATCAACATTCCTTGAAATTCCTGTAGAAAACTCTGACTTTAATCTGTCATAGGAGGTACAAACAATATCTCTGTTTATGATTCTTATGAGAATTAGGAAAACATATGTAAGTAATTAGTAAAAAAAAAAAGTCCTTAATTAGTAGTGCTTCTTTAAAAATTCTTATTACATAATAATGTTCCTTATAAGAATATTGAAAATATGTAAAAATTAACAAAACTAGTCATTGTGTAACCCAACAATAACTGTGGTTAATATTTTGGATATATATTCAAATTATCTATACTTATAGTAGGTACAACCAGTTATCCAGATGGATAAAAAAGTAGGCTAAATACACAAATAAGTATATTCAATTGTTTCTTTTATATTTTTGTCTTTTAAAATGGCTTTTATTTTGCAATCATAATATGCCCTTCTCTCAAATTTTTAATGTTAATAGATATATCTTTTTAGTCTTCATTTTATAAGCTATATGTTTCAAACTCATCTTTCAACAGATTTTAGAGCTAAACAATAACCCACACCTAACATCTTAATCAGAAAGCTAGTTTTAAATGTAATGGAAGGTTGATCTTGACATGTAGTAAGTAAAGTTTGGAAACCACCCACTATGAAATACTACAAAGGAATTAAAAGGGTAAGATTGTTTATATTTAATTCACTATTTTTCTTCAGCTTAATGAGATGCATGCTTTATATAATTAATTTTCAGTTTTTTGTTTTTTCTGATATAGTAACTTAAAGCTCTTAATTTCTCTCTAAGCATTATGTCAGCTATATCCTGCAAATTTTGATATTATATATTTTTATTTTGGGCATCACATAGTTTCTCACTGACACTGTGATTTTACCATTGACACCTGAGTTATTTAAAGTGTGCTCTTTTTTTAATTTACAAATATTCAAGAGATGAGAGAATATAATTGGAGCTTTAAAATTGTTTTATTATCTGTGATTTGAAGTGTTTATACCTTTTACATTTTGCATAATCACTGATATAATTGGTTTTATATCTGCCACATTGCTATCTTTTTACTTTATCTCATCACCTTCTGTTTTTCGTTTGTTTTCTGGATTTAATAATTTTATAAAACCATTTCTTGCTTTACAATATCAGCTATTTAGATGTATGTTCTGTTTTAATTATTTTAGTGGTTAACCTAACAATTACAACATGTATTCTTACTTATTTAAATAATACTCGCATTTGATGCCTTTCACTTTTGAAATAACACGAAGATCTTCTAAATGTTCATTCCCATTGAGCCCCTCTCACACTTTGTGCCAGTAGCATCATGTATTTTACTTTAACCAATGTTATAGATCTCATAAAACATTATTATTGCTCTTTCAAATAGTCAATATACATTTATAGAAGTATTTACCCTTTCTGGTAGCCCTCATTTCTTAACACAGTCTTAATTTTTTATTTTTCCCTTGAATAATTTCGTTTCAATCTAGGGAATTTTCTTTTTTAGTAGTGTAAGTTCGCTGAAAATATGTATTTTTTCCTTTTTCTTTTTGTTTGTTTGTTTGTTTGGTTTTTTTTAGACGGAGTCTTGCCCTGTCGCCAGGCTGGAGTACAGTGGCGCGATCTCGACTTACTGCAACCTCCACCCCCTGGGTTCAAGCGACTCTCCTGCCTCAGCCTCTAGAGTAGCTGGAACTATAAGTGCGCGCCGCCATGCCCAGCTACTTTTTGTATTTTCAGCAGAGATGGGGTTTCACCATGTTGGACAGGATGGTCTGGATCTCTTGACCTCGTGATCTGCCCGCTAGGCCTCCCAAAGTGCTGGGATTACAGGCGTGAGTCACAGTGACTGGCCCATTTCTTGTCTTCTATCTGCAAAGATCTTTGTCTTGCTTTTATTTTGAAGAATATATCCATTGACGACACGATTCTAGATTGACAGTCTTTGACTTAAACCATTTAAGTATCTGTTTCCATTACCATCTAGCTTTGTCCTTCCTTTGTAACATCATCAAGTAGGCTTAATTTGCTCCTTTGAAGGTAATATGGTTTTACCTTCGCTGTTTTTAAGTTTTTCTCTTTGTCTTTGAGAAATTTCAGAAATTTGAGTATAACATGGTTTTAGTTTTATTTCTATTTATTATGTTTGAGATTTATTTAGATTATTTAATCTGAAGGTTGCCCTTTCATCACATGGAAATATTCTTGACCATTTATTTGTTTTGTTTGTCCTTCAAATATTTCTTCTGATCCATTCTCTTTTCTCTCCTTCTGGGACTTAAATTACATATGTATGAGATGTGTTCAGCATATAACACAAATATTTCTCATTTTTGTTTCTGTTATTTAAATTTTTACCTATTTTTCAACTTGGATACTTTGTATTGATCTATAGTTCAATTAATCTTCTACTCTTCTCAATATTACTATATGCATCAAAAAAGCTTTTAATGTTGATATTGAATATTTTAACTAAGATTTCTATTTGGTTATTTTTAAAGATTTTATAGGTTTTGTAGTTATTTTATAGATTTGAATTCCTATTCGAAATGATCTATCCCATGTTTTTTCTTATTTTATTTACCATATTAAAGATAGTTACTTTGAGTTCTCTTCTGCTATCAGCAATATGTACGGACTGTTTCAAGGTAAGGTTTCATTGATTATTTTTTTCTCTTGATTATCAGTCACTTTTCCTACTTCCTTACATATCCAGAAATGTATAATTTTATATAATTTGTAGATAATAAATGTAGAGCCTCTAGTTTATGTTATCTTCCTCTAAAGAATGTTGCCTTTTTTTTTTTTTTTTCCTGGCAGACAGTTAATTTAACAGTCCACTGTCTTGATGTTGTTAATGCTTGGCTGCAGACTTTGCCTATTTTAATTTTGCATTTACTGATGGAATATGCAATGTGTAGCCTCTGAAATCTCTGCTCAACTGCTCAACTCTAGCTTCCCAGAAACTCTCAAAAGTTTATTCATACATATACTTAGGAGACTTTTTACACAGACTATTAGGGATCTCTTCAGGTAACTTGCCTCCAACAAATCCTGGTGGCTTTGGAAGCCTTGAATTCTGAAATCTATTCCCTCTATCTAGTAAAACTACCATTTTCTGCAAGTGTTTTCTTTATCAGAAACGCAGTTTGAAGAATGCTTTTAAGGTGAAAGCTGAACTAAATAAGAGATTAATATTTCCCTTATTTGATTGCTTTCCAATATTGTAAATGAATTTTTAACATGTTTTGTCTTGCTTTTATAATTTTTAGGGTAGCAGGTTATAAATCTATAATAGCCAAGACTGAAAATTCTATTTCGGTGTTAATTTTTTAAATACTGTTTTTGCATCTATGGAGATGATCATATAAATTTATTATTTAGTTCTATTACAATGATGAAAAGCCTCATCTGGTTTCTTTGTTTTTAGGAAAACTAACCTTGTATTTCTGAAATAAATTCAATTTGATTATCATGTATTATTCTTACTATATATTATTGCATTTCTTATGCTATGCACATCTATTGGATAAGAATTAGATTGGCAAGTTTCTTAAGTTTTTCTATTCCCACTAGTCAGATTGGGGTAATATCTATATTTATGGCTCATTGAACAGAATATGTAAAAAGGCTTTGACCCAGCAGTGAGGAAAAATTAGGTGTAGCTTAAATGCTAATCTGATCTCACCCCATGAATAGAAAAAGCAGGAATTGAAAGAATAAACCAGTTGCTCATCCAAGAGCAAATCTCAAGAACATTTATAAGAGTACCTACGTATTTAGTTTCCAAAATAGTAAAATCACAATTTCTGGCATTTATTTAAAAATAGGGGCTGGGCGCGGTGGCTCACGCCTGTAATCCCAGCACTTTGGGAGGCCGAGGCGGGTGGATCATGAGGTCAGGAGATCGAGACCATCCTGGCTAACAAGGTGAAACCCCGTCTCTACTAAAAATACAAAAAATTAGCCGGGCGCGGTGGCGGGCGCCTGTAGTCCCAGCTACTCGGGAGGCTGAGGCAGGAGAATGGCGTGAACCCGGGAAGCGGAGCTTGCAGTGAGCCGAGATTGCGCCACTGCAGTCCGCAGTCCGGCCTGGGCGACAGAGCGAGACTCCGTCTCAAAAAAAAAAAAAAAAAAAAAAATAGGTATGCAAAGAATGAAGAAAGTATGACTAACAATAATGGGAAAAATCGATCAATTGAAAGCAACCCAGAATTTATATAGAGCTTAGAATTTCATAGATAAGGCTATTGAAATAACAGTTATACTTGCATTTCATACATTTAAATGCTAGAAGAAAGATTGGATGTGTTTGTAGAGACATTTTAGATACATGTTCAAATCTAAATAAACCTTCTTGAGATAGAAACTAAGAAGTTTAATATAGACTATGCTGGAAGTGATTAATGTCACATTAAATATTTCAGAAAAAATATTAATGAACTTAAAAACATAGCAATATAAACTACCCAAAACAAACAAACAAATGAAAGAAAAAGAAGGGGAAGACAAAGAAAGAGGAGGAAGAGGAGAATAAACAGATTAATGGTGAACCTTTGGATAACTACAAGCAGCAGCATGTATGTATGTCAAGAGACAAGAGAATATAATTGGAGATACAGATATAGATATAGATATATATTATTCCTAACCTGGAAATTCAAAATACAAAATGCTCCAAAATCCAAAACTTATTTAGTTCTGACATGAAGCCACAAGTAGAAAATTTCACACCTGACCCCATGTGACAGGTCACAATCAAAACTCAGGTGTATAATACACAGTTTCTTCAGCATCCCTGAGGGAAAAATGACCCTAACACCCTTCAGCTGCATTATATTTTCTTCCTCATGCCCAGCTTCCCTCAGTAAGCACACTTACAAAGAGTAATAAAATGGCATGCATGCAGGTTGGATGCACCAACAGCAGGTTCCTGACGATGCCCCAGATGGGGCAAGACCTATGTGCATTGCTCACTGTGTTGTTTTTGCTTATCCTTTGCTGTGTGGTGTAAAGATATTGTTGAAAATGTCAGCTCTTGCAGATAACCCTGTGGATAACAGTGACAAAACATCAGAAAGTATTTAAGTTTATCAATAACATAGAAAGTCAAACCGTTGGAGAAACTGGACAAAGTTGTAAATGTGAAGTATTTTACAGAAAATTATGGTGCTGAAATAACCACCATACTATATCCTGAAGAAACAAAAGTATAAACTTTTGAATTTTATGTTAAAAGTGATGAACAGCAGTTAATGATAAATAGAAAAACACTGAATAGAGCTTAAAAATGAAGATCTTTATTGTGTATTGAAAGATTAGAGCTGTGAGCATTGTAGTGAATACATGCCACGTCATGGTATGTTGATCATGAAACAAGCAAAGATTTATTGCAATGAACTGAAAATTGGAGGATACTGTGAATATTCAACAGGCTTGTTGGAGTAATTTAAGAAAAGATACAGCCTTAAATTTTTAAAGGCCCGCAGTGATCCTTCCCAGAGAAATTCATTGATGAGTTTGCTAAAGTATCACTGATGAAAATCTGATGCTAGAACAAGTCTATGACGCTAAGAAAATATCACTGCTTTGGCATTATTGCCCAAGAAAGACACTAACTACAGCTGATGAGACAACCCCTACAGAAATTTAAAATGCCAAGCACAGAATAACTATGGTGGGATGTAATAATGCAGTAGACACACGTTAAGTATAGATTTGTTGTGATAGGCAAAAGCCTGCCTGCTTGCTGTTTTCAAGGAGTGAATTTTTTACTCTTCCACTATTATGCTAACAAAGAAACATGGATCACCAGGGCACCAGGGACATCTTTTCTGATTGGTTTCAGAAACATTTTGTATCAGTGGCTCATCCTCACTGCAGAAAAGCTGGATGGAATAACAACTGCAAAATTGTGTTATTTCTTGATGACAGTTCTACTCCTCCTTCAACTGAAATTCTCGTCAAAAATAATGTTTATGTCATACAACTTTCCTCAAAGGTGATTTCATTAACTCAAACATGTGACCAGAATATCCTTAGATAATGAAGATTAAATATAAAAACACTCTCTTGATCAGCATCCTAGCAGCAGTGAACAGAAACTTGGATGTGGAAGGTTTCCAAAATAACCCATACATCTTCCTCCTTTGCCTTACGGTGCTTCCTCCTCATTCAAAGTGTGAATCTCATGGGAACTCTGAAATAAACATTCTGAATGCTGAGCTGTGTCTCAGGGTCTCCCTGGAGGACCCACACAGCTTCAATGTGAGTATTTTTTTGCCAATGTGCTGCTCTCTAATCTTCCTCTCATCTCTGTGTATTCTCCTGTCTACCCTTTGTTTGTTTAGTTTTTGCTATTGCAATTTTTTAGTTTTAAAATTTTCACTTGATTCTTCATTAGAGTTTCCAGTTCTATGTCATTTTCATTCATTTATAATATAAAAAAGCTAGAAATACAAAAAGGAGAAAGACAAGGGATCTAAGAAAGTACATATTCAAAATAGCGGTGTACAACAAAATAATTTTTAAAAATCGTGGAAGGCATGTATGTGCCTACAAAACAACTGAGTCAAGTTAGGATATTTAACAACTGCGTAATTAAAATAGGCAGCAGAAGTCAATCATCTGACATATTTTTCTCAAAGAAAAAAGGCCCATTGAAATTCAGGGGAAATAGTTTTGTTTTGTTGGAGATAAACATGGTCCTTGGTAGTATGATTTTGTAAAGCTTAATGGAATGCCAAGAGATTAAAATTCACTTGACCTTGGTATTTAAAATAATTTATTTCAATTGTTTATTTTCTCCACAGATGTAATTATAATACATGGCTGTTCGGTGAATAATATTTGTATAAGGATAAAATTATACCATCTGTTTATTAGATTTTAAGTATACAGAATTAACAACTTAGATAACATGAGGAAGACCTAATTGCAGAAATAGGAAAAGGTTTAGAGATTAATGTGGAGCACTAATACCATATGTAATAGATAATAGGTCAAACTGAACATCTTAAACTGATGGATAAAGAATTAAAATTTACGTATAGTGTTTAAAATTGTAATTCATCAAGAAAAATAAATAAAAATTATGTATTGACACTTTTTAGCTGCTGCAATTTTGGATATATTATGACTAATAAAATAATGTACGTGAAACTATTCTGAAACAATCATTAATATGTAAATTACTGTTCAAATGTATAGTTTTATTGTTTTGTACATATTTATATACCTATTTTGGGACTGTTAAACTGTCACCTTACTTAACTTTGTAACTATTTGTACCATTGACTACTCACTAATATTTATTTTGTTGGACACAATGGAGGTTAATTTAGTAAAAGAGGTGGCAGAGTGCTCTGGTCAAGTGCACAGACTGTGTGATAAGATTGTCTGAATGAGTCCACAGTCCATCATTTACTAGCTTTTGTCTTTACTGGCTTTTGTCTTTATTAGCTTTTGTCTTTACTTTCCTCATCTCTAGAAAGGTGTTAATATGTAAAGCATTTAGGAAAACACCTGACACATTAAATGACCTATGAGTACTAGTTATTAAGTTTTTTTGTTCTATCATTATTATCGTTGTTACTATTTGATGAAAGTTTCCTGTTTCTGCCCCAGAAACCAAGCTGGAGTTTACAATGCTTGTGTGGTACTAGGAGTATAACAATAAACTCACTTAACAACTTTTGTTCTTTAGCTTTATCAGAAAAAAGGGGGGTAATAATACCTGTCTTGCCTATTCCATAAGAATATAACATTAATAAAAAGTGATTTTAAAACAAATTTTATTTATGGCATGGCAGGGCAAAATAGTTTGAGTTATGTCTTATACATATATTGTATATTTGAGTCAAAATTTGATTATTTTTAAATGGCCATTCAAGGGAAAGGAAATTATTATAGACAGGGGAGTGGGGAATGTATACCAGGCATCATAATTCATGTTCTCTAATCCTAAAAATGAAATTTATTTATTATAAAAACATAAGCAAGATGAGTAATCACTGTAAACTCACTGTCCTCATTAATAAAGAGGGGATAAATTTACTTACCTGACTTTGTTAGAAGGTTGTGAATGTCATATTAAATTAGGTAATAAGCTGAAATTGTTCTTTTACTAAAATGTATTAAGCCAGCATAGGTTGTTATAAATATGTTTCTATGAGTTTGATAAGTTTTATTGAATAGTTAGATGGATCTATGTGAAAATGGTGTTATTTCTGCTTCCAGAATATTAAAAATTTATTGTCTAACTGCATAATATATAAGAATACAATCATGTACAGAACAAACATATGTGGAATTGTGTATGGATACACATATGTAACCACAACATGTTGAATTATTGTTTAACCTTAATATTATTCTACTGAAGTTGCATTGCAATTTTTTCTCCTATCTATTTATTTCTGTCAGCCAGCAGCCTTCAATATGCTGACTCTGAAGATAATTTATTTATCTGATTAAAAAGTTGATGCTTTGAAAACTTCAGTCAAGGATATCATTACAACACTACATGATGACAATAGTTTGTTATTTTTCCTTTTTTTTTTTTACCACCTTTAATGAAACCAGATAAAGCACATTGCATGTGTATTGGTGATTCCATTACATTAGCATACTTCAAAAGATATATAACAGAAATCAAAGAAGTAAACTGGTCTTCACACTAATAACCTTATAGGTTGTGGACATATAAAGATAAAATTTCCACGAAATCAAATGTGAGGCTCTACAAAACTATTAAGAAAATAAATTATTTAAGGTTTTTCTTCCTTACAGTGTTTCAAATCCTGAAATTAGATATAAATATAATGTGGAAAACCAAAATAATGGTATATACAGTCCAATATAATTTCCCCTAATAATTAAAGGAGGGAAGTCTATGTATAGCAAAAATGCATAAATACACTTAATGTCTAAGTCTACACATGTATTTTATTTATTAAATATTAGAAAAAATATTTTTAAAATTTTAAAGATGCCATTTCTGAACACTGAATATATTTGTTGTCAAAAGTTAGAAAGCATGAAATAAAGCAAAAATAGAAAATATTAATTTTCTCAGTAAACTAGAGCATGGGTTAGGAAACTACCATCACAGGCTAGAATTGAAATCTTACTGGAACACTAGATGTGCATTTATTTATGCCTTTTTATGGCTCTTTTCCCACTAGAAGGGTAGAATTAAGCAGTTGCAACTATATCCTAAAGTATAAAATAGTTACTATCTTATGCTTTGTGGAAATGTTTGCAGACTCCTGATCCAGAAGAGACATGTGATTTCAGAGATTAAACACACCCATACACACAATTGCACTCACCAATAAGAGCATCCAGCATTAAAGATAAAACAATTTATTTGAAATAAAATACATTTTCTTCTTTCTGGCCATGCTTAAAAAGAAATAACATGAGAGATTAGAAGAGTCTGGCACATCCGATGAGAGAAAAAGAGCTATATTTGCTTGGCTTAGTAGAGGACAAAGCTTGCCACAATGAGAAATTTATGTAAAGAAAGAATAAGCAGATTGGTAAACTAGAGAGTTTTATTTCTGAAAATGAATTTAGCAACTTTCATAATATTTATAAATGTCTCTAGCTTGCATTTTCATGGATTAAATAGAGGTGGAAGAAATTCAGCAAAGAAAGAACAAAGCCATATATAATGACACACAAATTCATAGACACAAACCCTCAAAAGCAGAAATGTACAACATAAAGTTTAAGATATTTATATTCTTTCATTAAAAAATAGTATTCAACAAAAAGTTTGACAAAGGTATGAAGATAATCTTGGAATTCTTTCCACCTGGCATTGAATATAGTACCAAGCGTAGCTAGAGAAGACTGTGACAAAAGACTGTGTTATTATCACTGCAATGCTATTGCAGTAAGGCAAAAATGGTTTGTTCTTTTTTAGTCCCAGTGATTCACCTTAATAGCACCTGCTACGTGGAACCTATTAGGATTAATTGCAGGTACTCAGGATCAAGAGTGTAACTCATGTCTTTTACACATCCAAAAGACTTACTGAGGTAACCCAGGAAGGTTCCTCAGAAATCACCCTTTCCAATTCTATGTCCATGCAGTAAAGGTGTAAATGTGGAAATTTTTTAAAAAATAGATTTGAGGCTACATCTTTTTTAACTGAAGAACTATTACCACTTATGGAAAAGGGTCTCTAGATAGATAGATAGATAGATGATAGATAGATAGATAGATAGATAGATAGATAGATAGATAGATAGATAGAGATATATATGTATATATATTTATACATGTATAATGTGCACACATATACATAAATATGCATATATATCCCTTAAATATAACTCTGTCACGATATGGATCCTATGGAATTCACTATTTAATTTAAAAAATTATTGAATACTTAATATGCCTCAAGCCTTCCACTAAAATCTGAAAATACTTTGGTGATCAAAGCACTAATTGTCTCTGCTCCTATGGATTTTTTTAATCTACCTATGGAAAGGTAAATTTTAAAAATAAGGATACATGCCTATACTTTCACTGTGTGTCAGAAAAATAAGAGCTAAGATAATCTGGCTTAAATTAAAAATTCAAAGAGTTGTTCAGCAAAGAAACAGTAGTTAAAGCCGAGCTCTGAAGAAGAGAGATTCATAGACTTACAGAATTTATTAGTAGTTTCAAGTTGGCATCCAATGGTTGTTATGTACATGATCAGGTGTTAATTATTGCCTATGAAGCTATTAATAGTATTGAGTGGAAAAGGGTTCATCAATGTTTTTGAAGAAAAATGAAGAAGCAAACTGAAAAAATATGTGGATGACTAGAAGCTATGAGAAATGGACAGCATACTTTGGAGAGAAAAAACAAAAAATATTTTTGAAATAATAAAGTACATGAACATACAAACTTTTAACTGGGGTAAAAGTAATGCTTTGTTATATGTTTAAATTAACAAATTCAAAGTAGAAGAGATGGAGCTTAGAAACACCATGGGTGTTGGGTGGAAGTTAGAAATTTAGTCAACATCAGTAGTGTCATGTGACTCCAGAAAAAATGAAAATGGAAATAAGAAATAAACAGAAGGAAAGAGGAAATAAAAAGTAACAGAAAAATCGAACACCATATAGAGTTGAATTAATGATGTAGGTAATAGTGCTGCATGCATCTCAACTGGTCACTTATATATATTTTGAGACAGGGTCACACTCTGTTGCCCAGGCTGGATTGTAGTGGCTACATCATGGCTCACTCTAGCCTCTACCTCCCAGGCTCAGGCGATCCTTCCACTTCAGCCTCCAGAGTAGCTGGAGCCATAAGTGCTTGCCAACATGCCCAGCTAATTTTCTAATTATTTGTAGAGACAGGGTCTCCCTGTGTTGCCCAAACTGTTCTCAAACTCCTGGCTCAAGCAATCCACCTCCCTCGGGCTCCCAAAGTGTTAGAATTACAGGCATTAGTCACTACATCACACCCAAGTATTTTAATATTAGATGTATGTTTCTATATAAGGTTTTAAAAACAAAACAGGAAAAATTTCAGCCTGTTCAAAAATTAAACATAAGACCTTGTTATATGAAATACAAGTAAAATAAATAAGAATTTTAAACTTATTTTTCAACAAGAAGATTAAAGACGAGACTTGAAAAGATAATTGCCTACCAAATGGAAGAACAATTGGATCTGGTCTCTATAATATTGGAGGTGATTAATAGGACAGACCTAAATTTAATAATTAGAAAAAATTTCTAGAAGTAGAATCTCCCAAAGACAGAATACATTGTCTCATTAGATAAAAACTTCCACTATTAGGGCTTAACTATTAGTCATTTATTTTTATAAGCAGCTATTTTTTACTAAGTAATATAATGAGAATATACATTGTTATATATACTTCTTCTACCACATCATTTTTAAGGATTCCAGATTATTCAGTCATATCGTATACCTTAATTTACTTATCTGGTTTCCCTTTACAGAATAATTAAGCTTTTAAAAAATTTTATTATTGTAAACAATGTGTCATTTGTTTTGTAAATCGAAAGTGGATTTCCTAAGCTAAAGAGTATATGCACTCAAAAAGCTTTTGATGATAAGTATTTGCAGTCGTGCCTCCAAAATATCACAGCACTCTATTTCCCACTAACAGTGATTAAAATACTTCTTTCTTATGTTCACAAAGTGTGAAAAAGCTATTAAGTCAGTAGATAAAATAGAAGAAACCAAGACACAACACAGATAGACATCTAGGCCGAGTCAGTTACAGGGGATTAATTTCATGCTTAAAATATTTTGAAAGGGAAAGTGACATGGTTTGGCACTGTGTTTCCCAACCAAATCTCATTTCAAATCGTAATCCCCACTTACCGAGGGAGGCACCTGCAATCCTCAGGTGTCAAGGGAGGGTCGTGATTTGATTGTGGGGGCAGTTCCTCTATGTTGTTCTCAGTATACTGAGTGAATTCCCAGGAGATCTGATGGTTTTATAGATGATGGCAGTTTTTCCTGTACTCACAAGTGCTCTCTCTTGCCTGCCTCCATGTAAGACATGACTGCTTCCCCATTCACAGTGATTGTAACTTTCCAGAGGCCTCACCAGTCATGCAGAACTGTGAGTCAATTAAACCTCTTCATTTATAAATTACCCAGTAGTATCCTTACAGCAGTGTAAAAAAATGGACTAATATGGAAAGCTAACACTAAAATACATAATTATAAAAACAAATTGAGGATCCTATTTCAAGATTGCTGATTACAGACATTGGACATCTGCCTCCATCAGAAAAAAGAAATAAAATTATGAATAGATAATTATACCTTGAATAGAACACCTAAGAGAACAACAGAGTACAACAGAGAAGTTCCAAAAAACACGTGAGCCACAGAGAAGAAGGAAGTGAGTAGCCAACTTGGCCAAGATTGGTTGGGAGCCTCGAGGATCTCAGTATTATGAAGAGAGGGTAAGTGAGAAAACTTCAGTAGTTCAGATACCCACAGTGGACTGCTGCAATCCAAAGCACAGTAGAGCTCCCCCACCCACATAAACCTTGACACTAATGTGGGCAATAATATAAGACACTGTAAAGGCATTGCACCAGACAGGAAACTTGTGCTTCAGTCACCCTGACCTAGCCGGCTGTAACTGAGCATCATTGTGAGTATACAGCTGTTGCTGGACTGCATTCTGATCAAGAACCATAGTCCACATATCCCCACATTTTGTGAACCTCCACTGTCACCTCCCAGTGTCCACCAGGAAAGCAATAGCGAAACAGTATTGGCTGGGCCCAAAGATGTTGTGGAATCTCCAGTACGCTAGCCTGTATGAAGTACTACTCCCTGGACAAAGGATGGTACACTGAACCAAAAAGGCAGACCCTGGGCAAGGGAATCCAAGACATATACTTTCCAGAGCCCAAGAGCTCCCTGTCTGGAGCTATAAGAAGTGATATCCCTCTCAGCAGTGGCACAAACTCTGTGCTCAGCCTAGCAAACAAAGTGTGATCCCCTCTCATTGGCGGATCTGTGCTCGGGCTCACACATATTAAGTGCAACCCCTTCTCCTCCTCCACACACCACTACAGGTACAGCCCTGCTGCCACTGCTGGTGGATGGGGCAGGAAAGCCAGAGTTGTCTGTCAGGTGCTATGAGTGGCTACAGTGCCCCCACTGGCAGTGTAGTTTCCATGCCTTGACTTGTGCATGGAAGACAGTGTCCCTCTCCACTCTGCACAGTGCTTCCACTGCTACAGAAAGCAGGATAAATAAAGAGTTGCATATCTTGGGCTGTGGATGGCAACCTTGCACTGTTGCTACCACCTATATCAATGGGCACTACTTGGGATCCAAAGAGTTGTCCCACCACTGATACTGCCAAGGCTCATACCACACTGGCTGCTCAGGCACCTGAGAATCTTCTCACCCACCTGGCCCCACCACTGCCACTACTGGCATCCAAATGAGCCACCTGGAGGCCCAAGAATCAACCTGCCTGGTCCCACAAATGCCACTGCCCTGGGGCCAAATATCAAGAACACTCAGGCCACCACTGCCAACACTGGGGCCAGAAAAGTGGCCAATGTGTCATCCTTGTCCCCAGCAAAACTTCATCATAGCCTTTAATAATAACCACATCCTAAATCACCAAGGAAATCACAGATACCACTGATACTGTTTACCACTGAAAAAATCATACAAAAACTACACTACATCATGCACCCAGAATCAAAATTAAAGGGCCCTACCCAACTCACACCACTGATACATCTTCAGGAAAAAGTCCTCACCAATTAAAGTAAATCCAAGCCAGACATGGTGGCTCACAGCTGTAATCCCAGATCTTTGGGAAGCCGAGGCGGGTGGATCACTTGAGGTCAGGAGTTCAAGACCAGCCTGGCCAACATGGTGCAACCCCATCTCTACTAAAAATATAAAAATTAGCCAGACGTGGTTGTGCGTGCCTGTAATCCCAGCTACTCGGGAGGCTGAGGCAGGAGAATCCCTTGAACCTAGGAGGCAGAGGTTGCAGTGAGCCGAGATTGTGCCACTGCACTGCAGCCTGGGTAAAAAAGCAACACTCCATCTCAAAAAAAAAAAAAAAAAAAAAAAGTAAATCCAAAAAACTGGAAGAAGTAACTATTACACCAAATGTGCAGATACCAGTGTAACTGAAACATGAAGCAGATACAAGAAACATGAAAAAATAAGGAAATATTACGCCTTCAAAGGAACAACATAATTATCCAGTAACAGATCTCAACCAAAAAAAATCACCAAATTATGGAAAAAGTATTCAAAACTATAATACCAAAGAATCTCAGTGAGATACAAAAAATCTGAAAAACAGTACAAAGAAATCAGAAGAAAAAATTCAAGATATGAATAAGAAATGTACCAAAGAGATAGATTTCATTAAAGAAAACAAACAAAAATACTTACTGAAACTGGATAATTTATTAAATAAATATAAAATATATTCAGAGACTTCAACAATACACTGGATCAGGCAGAAGAGAGAATCTCAAAATGTAAAGGCAGGTCTGTTGAAATAATGCAGTCAGACAAATTTTGTTTTATAAAAAATGAACACAGTCTTGATAAGATATGGGAACCATAAAGTAACCAAACATATGAATTATCAATATCCCCTAAGGTGAAGAAAGAATGGAGGCATTAGAAAATCTATTTAATGAAAGAATATATAAAAACTTATCAAATCTTGTAAGAGATTTAGACATCCACATACAGGATACCTAGCAATCTTCAATCATCTGAGTACAAAAACGCGGGGGAGTGCCTCACCCCCCTGCGATGCGGGTCGTAATAGCCAGGGGGGGGAGAGGGGGTGGCTCTTACTCCCCGCATCGCGGGTGGCTCTTATCTGTGTCCATTATTAGCATTCTCTTTTTTCCTGCCATTAGGAACAATTTCACAGGGTGTGTGTACCCAGCCTGCGATATGAAACGTAATATCATCCTCTACACCTGCGCGTATTAGGAACCATATCACACAATGGGTGTTCACTTTTTGCGGGATTTGGGGTCATGTCATCCTGTGTTTCCCTAAATAGTCGGGGAAATATCACAGGGCGGGTGTCCACCCACTACTCTATTGGGAGGCACATCTTACTTTAGCTACTGGAAATTAGGAGCAGTATCACAGACGGGGTGTAAAGCCACTGTCATATTTGAAGTAATATCATGCTCTCCCCCACTAGTTGTGACGCACAATATCACAGGGGGGGTGTATATTCTGCGGTACTGGGAGTAATATCATCATCTCTTCCTTTAGATGACAGGAACGATATCAGAGAGGGGGTGTACACCCCGTGTTTTTTTGGAAGCAATGTCATTCACTCTTCTAAATTTTACGATTCATATCACAGGCGGGGTGTACACCCCTTGTTATTTTGGGAGTCATCTGATCCTCTTTCAACCTGTATATTTAGAACAATATCCCATGGGGCTGTACATCTCTTCGATATTGGTAGTAATATCATCTTCTCCTTTCCTGGATATAAGAAACAATGTCACAGGTGGGGTGTACACCCCTTGCAATATTGAGAGTAATATCACTTCTCCCCATGTGGTTATTAAGGACAAAATCACACGGTGCTGTACAGTTGCTACGTTATTGGGAGTAATATCATCCACTCACCCCCTCGATATCAGAAGCCATATCACAGAAGAGTTGTACACCCCCTTCGATATTGTCAGCAATATCATCGTCTTCCCACCTGGATATTAGGAACAATACCCCGGGGGGGTTGGGGGTGTACACCCACTGCGAGATCCAGAGTTATATCAGCCTCTTTCCCGCTGGGTATTACGAACTATATCACAGGTGTGTGTGCACCTTCTGCGAAACTGGGAGTAATATCAGCTTCTACCCCGCTGCATATTACGAACAATATACGGGGGGTTGAGGGGGTTACACTCCCTGCGATATTGAGAGTAATATTATTCTCTTTTGCCTGTACATTAGGCACTATATCACAGGGGTCCGCACACCTTCTGCCATATTGGGACTAATGTTATCCTCTCCCACCTCGAATATCAAAAACAATATCACAGAAGGGTGTACACCCCCTGCGATATGGCCAGTAATATCATCGTCTCTACCTTTGGATACTAGGAACAACATCACAGAGGGTGTGTACACCCCCTGCGATAATGGGCATAATGTTATCCTCTCATCCCCTGGATATGAGGAACAATATCCCTGGTAGGGGGAGGTGGAGTACATTAAGAACAATATCTTAAGGAGGTGGGTGTACACCCCCTGCGATATTGGGTGTAGTATCATCCTCTCTTTCCTAGGATATTAAGAACAATATCACAGGAGGGGTGTACAGCCCCTGTGATATTGGGAGTAATGTCATCCTCTCCCCTTCTTGATAAAAGGAACAATATCCCAGGGTGGGTGTATATCCCCTGCGATATTGGGCGTAATGTCATCGTCTCCCGACTTGGATATTGGGAATAGTCACAGGGGGGTGTACACCTTCGATATTGGGAGTAGTATCGTCCTCTCCCCTCGGGATTGTAGGCAAAATATCGAAGAGGTTTTACAACTCGTGCAATACGGGCGGTAATATCATCCTCTCTCCACCTAGATATTAGGAACTATATCACAGGCGGCTGTACACTTCTTGCGATATTGAGAGTAATATCATCCTCTCCCATCATGGATACTAAAAACAGTATTCCAAAGGAGGTGTACACCCCCTGCGATATTGAGAGTAATATGCTCTCCCCTTCGGGATATTAGGAACAATATCGCAGGAGGTGTGTACAACACCTGAGATATTGGGAGTAATATCATCCTCTCCCCCTGAATATAAGAAACGATATCACAGGAGGATGTACACCCCCTGCGATATTGGGAATAATATCATTTTCTCCCCCCTCGGGATACTCGAAACAATATCACAGTGGGTGTGTACAGCCCCTGCGATATTGCCACTAGTATCTTCCTCTCCCTCCCAGGATAGAAGGAACAATGTCACAAGGGGGTGTACACCGCCTGCGATATTGGGGGTAATATCTTCCTCTCCCACGCTGGCTATTAGGAACAATGTCACAGAAGGGGTGTACACCCCCTGCTATATTGGGAGTGATATCATTCTCTCCGTCCCTGGATATTAGGAACAATATCCCTAGGGAGTGTACACCTCCTGCAATATTGAGACTAATATCATCCTCTTGCCCCCTGGATATTAGGATCAATATCACAGGGGTGGTGTGCACCCCTTGTGAAATTGGAAGAAATACCATCCTCTCCACCTTTGGACGTTAGGGACAGTATCACGGGGGAGGTCTCCGCCCCCTGAGATATTGGGAGTCATTTCATCTGCTCCCACCCAGGATATTAGGAACAAGATGACCGAAGGGATGTACACCCACTGCGATATTTTCAATAATGTCATCCTCTACCCCCAGCTATTAGAAGTAACATCACAGAAGGGTGTACACTTTCTGCGATATCGGGAGTAATATCCTCTCCCCCACGGATATCGGGAACAGTTATATTAATTATTAATATTAATAAATATAATAACAATTAATAGTAATCATCGATATTAATAATTACAATAGAGATAGTAAAAGTTAATATGGACTAAAAATATTAATGATTACTACTAATAATAGTAATATCACTATTAATAATAAAATAATGATATCAGTAATTAATGTTACTTAAATCAATCATAAGTGATGTTGGTAATAAAACAATAATTAATATTAAAATTAATAACTAATATTATTGAAAAATGACCTTAATAGTAATAATTTAAATCATGCATAATCATATATTTAAAATAATCATTAATGATTAATAAGGTTGTACTATTAATTAATATTACCATTGATAATTAAGACTGATGTTTAATAATTAATAATATTATTACTCCTAATACCACAGGGGGTGTACACCTACCTGTGATATTGTTCCTCATATCCAGGGATGGAGAGCATGATATTAGTTTTAAAATCGCAGTAGGTGTACACTCACCTGTGACACTGATCCTAATATCCAGGGGGTAGAGTATGACATGACTCCCAACATAGCAATGAATGGACAGCCACCCGGTGATATTGCTCCGAATATTCACGGAAGAAGCGTATGATATTACTCCCAATATCGCAGGGAGTGTACACCTCTTCTGTGATATTGTTCCTAGTATCCCGAGAGGGAGAGGATGATAATAATGCCAGTATCGCAGGCCATGTTCACCCACCCTGTGATATTGTGATGAATATCCTGAAAGGGAGAGGATGATATTACTCCCCATAATAGATAGATATTACTCCCCATAATAGAGTAGGAGGTGTACACCCATCCTGTGATAGTGTTCCTAATATTCAGAGGCCGAGAGGTTGATACTACTCCCAATATCGCAGGAGGTGTACACCCCCGTGTGAGATGGTCCTTAATAATATTCCAAGGCGGAGGGGGTGATATTACAACGTATATCGCAGAAAGTGTACACCCCCCAGGGATATTGTTCCCATGATCCTGGAGGGAAGAGGGTGATATTACTTTAAATATCACAGAAGGTGGACACGCCCCCACTGATATTGTTTCTAATTTCAACGTGGGAGAGGGGTATATGCCACCCAATATCGCAGGGAGTAGAAACACCCCTGTGATACTGTTCTTAATATTCAGGGAGGAAGAGGATGATATTACTCCCAATACAGACGGGTGTACACCCGTCTGTGAAATAGTTCATAATTTCCAGAGGGGGAGATGATACTACTCACAATATCATAAACAAGCTGTGAGTCCACCGTGGGTCGTAATAACCAGAGGGGGAGAGGGGGTGGCTCTTACTCCCCATATCTCAGGGGGGTGCCTCATCTCCCCCTCTGGAAATTATGAACTATTTCACAGATGTGTTTACACCCTCGGTGTACAGAAGGTGTACACCCGGCTGTATTGGGTGTAATATCATCCTCTTCCTCCCTGAATATTAAGAACAGTATCACAGGGGTGTTTCTACTCCCTGCGATATTGGGTGGCATATCGTCCTCTCCCACGTTGAAATTAGAAACAATATCAGTGGGGGCAAGTCCACCTTCTGTGATATTTAAAGTAATATCATCCTCTTCCCTCCAGGATCATGGGAACAATATCCATGGGGGGTGTACACTTTCTGCGATATAAGTAGTAATATCACCCCCTCCACCTTGGAATATTATTAAGGACCATCTCACACGGGGGTGTACACCTTCTGCGATATTGGGAGTAATATCAACCTCTTGGCCTCTGAATATTGGGAACAATATCACAGGGTGGGTGTACACCTCCTACTCTATTATGGGGAATAACATCTATCTATTATGGGGGAGTAATATCATCCTCTCCCTTTCAGGATATTCATATCAATATCACAGGGTGGGTGAACACAGCCTGCGATACTGGAATTATTATCATCCTCTCCCCTTCAGGATACTAGGAACAATATCACAGAAGAGGTGTACACTCCCTGCGATATTGGGAGTAATATTATAGGCTTCTTCCATGAATATTCGGAGCAATATCACCAGGTGGCTGTACATTCATTGCTATGTTGGGAGTCATGTCATACTCTCCCCCCTGGATATTAGGATCAGTGTCACAGGGTGAGTGTACACCTACTGCGATATTAAAACTAATATCATGCTCTCCATCCCTGGATATGAGGAACAATATCACAGGTAGGTGTACACCCCCTGTGGTATTAGGAGTAATAATATGATTAATTATTAAATATCAGTCTTAATAATCATATAATAATTATATAACCTTAGATATATATATATTATCTCAGAATGATAAATTACTCTTTTTGATCCTTATGTTTTTCATCTGTCAAAAGAAAATAATATTTCTAAGTCTTAAGATTTCTGAAAATATTAAATGAAGACTTCTGTATTGTATAATTTTGAACTAAATAATATGGAACTTACCTTGAATTGTGAGAAACAACCAAAAAGTCTGGGTAACATATCAAACATTTACTTTAAGACATCAGTGAATCAACAGGAAATTAAATAGTAGCAAGCCATGATTTGAAGGAGAATATAGACCCAAGGAAGCAAGTTTAGTATTTACGGTTATTTTTTACCTGCAGAAATACGAAAATCTCAGAACAGATCATTTAGAATTTGAAATAAAGATTAGAACTTTCGGCTGCCTCTCTGGTAGAACAGTACTGATTAAGGCCTAAGACCCACCAAAGGAGAGATCTATCCCTTTGTGCTGAGATCCAAAATGAACTCCCATAAGATGGGTAACCTGGAGCAGAATGTCTGCTGTAGAAATTGCATACCAGCTTCCAGTGATATTGGCCTATGAGATTACATTTCTCCTCTATGGAGGACAATAACATCATTCTTGTTCCAAAATTATTGAACAGAAGTGGTATTGCCCAGATGAACTAGCCAGACTAATTCTAGAGCTTTACTCCCACTCTCTGTTCTCCCCTGCTTCTATGTAGTAATCACTTGACATATATCTCTCTGTAAGTGTGAATTCTGTAAATTGCAATTTTTATAAGTTTGTTATAATAAATTTAATAATATGTATTATTGTTTTGATGATTTCTCAAACATATTTCAGCTATACATATATAATTTAATTTGAATTAATTTTCTCTTTGAAAAGGCTATAACAGGTTTTTTCAAGAAGACTTGGAGGAGAAAGTCTCATTATGAGTCTCATAAAGTAAAGAAGTACTCCTAATTGTCTAGTGGCAATGTACTTAGCAACAGGACAATATCTTTGTTCTCCAAGATTAATAACTTCCATAAGATCTCAAGGCCTGATTCTTAACAGGTGAATATTCTCTAAATTGATTTCCATTCAAATTATTTTGAACAATATACATGTTTATCGGCCAAGATTTTAGATTTTATGAGTTTTCAGGGTAGTGTGGGCAGAACTCACCATAGGACAATGTAAGTGGCGATGGAATAGCCCCACATCCTGAGGACCTGAGGATTTGGAACTGAGGAGCTTTATATAAAATGCCCTGTGACTGTTACACTCCATGACTTCAGCTTTCTTTTTTAGTAATATTGGTGAAAATAACTCACTTTAGTAGAATTTTTATTTTAATCAGATATCCAAACTCACAGGCATTTTTACTAATGTCTTTACAGATGTTAAAGATGACAGTTATACTGGAATTCCAGGTAAACAAACTATTTTAACTCATCACATTTATCACTCTTTCAAAGATGGCATTGTGTGCATTCATTTTCACTCTACTAATAGCATGCAGTTGAGCCTGTCGAGTAAAGAGGCTTATTTTGGAATTTGAAGACCACGGTTCTTTCTCTGCTGAGATCCATCTGGCTCAGAAACACTAGGTAAGTTAAACCCTCTAAACTTCAGTTCCACCATCTGTAAAATTAATTAATAATAGTATCCACCCATGTGAATGTTATGAGGATTAAATGAGGTAACATGTATGAAGAACTTGGTCCAGTACCCGATTTAAACTAAATGTCAAATGAAATATGGCTATCATTAATTTCCATAATACCTCAAGTTTTAATATAGCTAATCAAAATTAGTTGTATCTTAATTTAGCATTGCTTACCATTGCAGGTGTATTAACAAATCATAATTCTATTTACCCTTCAAAATTAATTGCATTCTCACTGCTAGGAATTCATAATATGCACAACTCATACAGATATACAAATGTTCATCTCACTGGCTTAGTGTGCATGTGTGTGTGAGGGGGGTAGTTTCTAGGTACCATAAATTGATGCTTGTTTTGAAAAAAGTAATTTCTATGAATTTATGAAGCAAATTTCAAAATGCATTAATTCCAGAAACATTAAATAATTATTTCTTATTGACATTATCTAATACATTCCTTGGTTGGCAGGGAGGTTTTTCAGTGCTTTGTATGTTCTACATCATTTTTAGGCAGATAAAGTATAGAAAACAAAATGTTTCATGCCAAGGGAACAGAATGACCAGGTGATGAGGGGTAAAATTAAAGACACTGGATTCATGCACAGAAATTTATTACAATTGGAGATTAGAGTCCATGAAGGAGAGAACAAAAGGTAGGGTTGGACACAAGACTAGGTGTGGAAACAGCAACATTGGAAGCCAAGTTTAAGTATTGTTATTTTACCTAATGCCAACCAGGAATCCACTGAAAGCTTTTAAATTGGGAAGTGACATACTTAGATCTTTTGACATTTGTCTGTGGTCTGCCAGTAGATTAGAGGAGAATAATACAGGAAGTAAGGAATGATAGTGATCTGCTTGGTATGTAGTGGCAGGAATGAGACTTAGTAGTTGATTAGAAGTGCAGGTTGACCATTCTAAAGTTTCTTCTCTACGTAATTCAGAGTAAAATTTACTGAAATGGGAGCACTTGAAGGGAAAATGGTTTGGGGTACCAAATAAATATGAGTTCAATTCTGGACATATTAAAGTTAAGATCTCTGGAAATATTTATGATGACAGATTAGTCTATACTGAAGAAATAAGCAAAGGCTGAGACATCAGTAGCTTAACCTATAGACATTGTCAAAAATTGCTAGGGATCTGAGATTTTACTGTACTTGCAAACTAACCAGTGAGGATGTCATGGTCTTACTGATGGACAAATATTCCCTGTGTCATAGACAGAAGACATTAGCGCTCACAGTTCAGCAGGCAGTATGAGCTTCAGGTTCACATGGGTGCTCCCTGCTACACAACCACTGGAGGGGCCATGTGGAGCTGATGGAGTGGATGCTGTGCATACAATGGTTTCCTGTCACAGCTGAGGAGCCCCAAGCTTAGCAAGGCCCCCATCTGTTGAGGGAGGCTGTGAACCCCAACTAAAATATTATTGCTTTAGTAGCAGATATTATCTTTATTGTACTGGTCAGAAAACAAAATTTGCCTTCTGCTCAAAAGAGAAATATATCTTCCAAGGCTGTTAGCTATACAAACATCCTCGAAAAGACAGAATAGTGAAAAAGCTGTCACAAGACATGCAGAAATATGCAAAATGTTCCCTTACACAAAGTCCATTAATTGACATCGTATCATCAGGGGAGCTCTCTTTTAAGTGGTAATTAGGCCATCCAGGCTGCTTCTTTCTTCTTGTGATGGCTATGACATTTGTAAATAAAGAACAACAACATAAAGTTTTTAAAGCTCATACTAAAGATAATTGAAAATATCAATGATACGGTTATTTGATTCTTAGTCTTTGATTCATCATGGGAGGTTTAAAATGAGAGGAAGAAATAATAATTTGCCTACTCATCTCTGAATCAGAGTGACTTTTTGAAAGACAGCAAGATAAAAAGTTCAAATTGTGACACTGTTTTCTAGGAAAAAATGATAACCAATCCCTTGAGGTAGTACCAAAATTATCTGGAAAATATCTCAAAATGGCAGGGAATTGGCCGGGCGTGGTGGCTCATGCCTATAATCCCAGCACTTTGGGAGGCTGAGGCGGATGGATCACAAGGTCAGGAAGTCGAGACCACCCTGGCTAACACGATGAAACTCATTTCTACTAAAAACGTAAAAACTTAGCTGGGCGTGGTGGTGGACACCTGTAGTCCCAGCTACTCGGGAGGCTGAGGCAGGAGAATCGCTTGAACCCCGGAGGCGGTGGTTGCGGTGAGCCAAGATCGTACCACTGCACTCCAGCCTGGGCAACAGAGCAAGACTCCATCTCAAAAAAAAATAAAATAAAATAAAAAAATAAATAAATAAATAAATAAAAATTAACAAAAGACAGGGAATTTATCTTGAGGTAGGAGACCATGAAGTTCCCAGGACACTAAGTAGTTTCTGGCAGGTCCTAGTGATTTGACCAAAAAATAACATTGTAACTGTTAAATGTTTGGACTCACTCCCTCAAACTTGTCCCAAGTTGGTTGTATAACAACTGCATAAAGGAACGTCATTTCCTTTCTCCTTGGTTGCAGGAATGGTGACGTACCAGTGATTCACTGGCCTGTAGAGCTGACAGAAGAAAGCATGAGCTTGAGCAGCAGCGGCTGATTGAATAGTGGAATAAAACAAAGTTTCAGATCAAGGTACCAACTGCTGCTAAGAGCGTCTGGACCACCTAGGACCAATCAGAGTGTGCTTGCGGAGCTTGGATTCTCAGTGCTGTAATGAGTCGAGGAACTGGAGTAAAAGTACCTCAAAATGTTTCCCAGGCTTGATTACCTCACAGGTTTATGTCAGAGGTTATAATCACATCCACTCACTTAAGCAGGATGAGCAGAGCTAGAGTCTCTTTCTTTTAAATCCACTTTGTTTTTAAATGCTTAAACTGCCGAAGTACACAAGACTTAACTGTTATATACAAATTTTCAAATTATTTTGTTTGTAATGCATTGTGCAAGTAAAAAGAAATAAAGATACTTTAAACCCTATCAGCTCAATACATAAACTATTTTGCATGCCTCTAAATTCTAAGATTGGGGCAGGAAATATTTAAAAATAAGTGTTTTATCACCTCATCTTATACTAAATATGTCCTTGCAGTAAAGTTGCTGTCAATAGGGAAGATCAGTGCTATTTTGGCATTCAGATGGATCAAAACTGACATGGGCCCAATTTCCTTTTGTTAATCAATATTATTTATTTATATCAGTATCCTAATTGCTTCAAAATAATTAGAGGCAGATTTTTAAATTACACATTAAATGAAATTGAACATTAAAATATAAAATCTTAAATATGTATGTGAAGCCAAAAGAAAATATTTATGTGGTATGTTACCTAAAATGAGTTAACTACATAAAACTGAAGCAAAGAGACAATACAGAGAACATAGAGAAATATATATTGTGTACACTCTAATTCTTTTTAAAAATACCAACTCCTCAATTTCTGCAAATGTCACAAACATTTACTCAGGCTCAAAAGCTGGTATCAACTTATTTTTAAAATAAAATTTGTATTTTAGAATAGTTTTATATAGACAGAAATAACTGCAAGGCTATTTATTTATATGGAGTACAGAGAGTTTCCAAATGCCTAACACCTAGATTTTCAATTACTAATGTTTTACATTGTTCTGGTACATTTATCAGCTAATAAATCATTACGGCTAGATACACGCTTGTTGCATTAGGGTTCTTCAAGAAACAAAACCAATCAGTTATGTGTATACACACATGCACACACATATATGCATATGAAGCCACACACACATATACATATAACTGGTTGTGCGTGTGTGTGCGTGTGTGTGTGTGTGGAGAGAGAGAGAGAGGAAGAAAGAGAGAGAGAGGAGGGAGAGACTTATTATAAGGAACTGGCTCATATAATTATGGAAGCTAAGAAGTCCCAGAAGTTCCAAGATCTATATTCAGCAAAATGGGGATGCAGAAGTTCTGATGAAGGAGTCCTATAGTTCTACTCCAAGTAGGAAGGCCTGAAAAGAGGAGAGGCAATGGTATAAGTTCCAGTCTAAAAGCCTGTCATCTTGAGATGCTAGAAGAATTGATGTTCTAGTTTGAATGACGGCAGGAAAAGACCAATGTCTTAGCTCAAGGGAGTGAGGCAAGAGGAATCTCCTCTTAATTGGCTTTTTTTGTTTGTTTTTTTACGCCTTTAATTAATTAAATGAAGCCCACATACATTAACTTTATGCAGTATACAGATTCAAAATTTATTCTTCCAGAAACACCCTCTCAGACACACCCAGAATAATGTTTAGCCAAATGTTAAGCATGGAATGTCTGGGCATTCCATGGCCCAGGCAAGTTAGCATGTAACGTTGATCATGACACTCAGATTTCCTTAGTTTTCACCTACTATTCTTTCTCTAATCCAGGCTCTTATCAAAAGACACCACATTAGATTTTGTTGTTGTGTCTCCTCTTGACAGCAACAGGTTCATAAACTCTTTGTGTTTCTGATGACCTTGACAATTTTGAGAAATATTGATTTTTGCCAACCGTTATGATTTGTCTGGTGATTTTCTTATGATTATAGTGGGGTTGAGGGTTTTGGCAAGGAAAACCACAGAGCCTTATCACTCGTGTGAATGGTACGTATAAAGGTTAATGTTTCAGTATTTCAGTATAAAGGTTAATGTAAACCCTGCTCACCAGCTGAAGTAGTGTTTGTCAGATTTCCTCACTGTAATGGTATTTCCCTCTCCCTCTTTCTATACATACTATATGGAAGAAGGTCAGTGTGCACTGTGCTGTCTTAAAGAGTATCTACATAAATTATTTGGAATTTTCCTGCAAGGCAGGTTTTTCTATTCTTTTATTTTTCTTCTCTATTTTTATTTGATTATTTATGTAAATATGAAACCACAGATACTTATTTTTATACATTAGGTGTATTAGTCGGTTTTCACACTGCTAATGAAGACATATCTGGGACTGGGAAGAAATAAAGGTTTAATGGACTTACAGTTCCACATGGCCAGAGAGGCCTCACAATCATGACAGAGGGCAAGGAGGAGCAAGTCCAGTCTAACATGGATGGTGACAGGCAAAGAGAGAACTTGTGCAGGGAAACTCCCCCTTATAGAAACGTTGGACCTCATGAGACTTATTCACTATCACAAGAACAGCATAGGAAAGACCTACTCTATGACTCAATTACCTCCCACCAGGTCCTTCCCACAACATGTGGAAATTCAAGATGAGATTTGGGTGGGGACACAGCCAAACTGTATCATTAGGTTATAATAAAATAATATTTTATTTATTCTGATGCTCAAATTGGACCATTTTGGGTCATTGAAGGCATTTTCAGTTGGCTCCTGTGTTCTTCTGACATATATTTGCATTCTCCATCATTGTGGTGTTTTCTGAGCACTTTCTTACTTGCTCTCACTAAGGTGCTCTAGATTCATTTTTTCAGTATTTCCTGCCCCAGTCTTAGAATCAGCCATTTCTCAAAGAGGTCTAGTTTCTTTTATTGGAATATAGTATTAGAAATCAATATCTAATTTGAGTAGGAGTTGGTATACTCACTATTGAGATGTTGTTGGTTCTAGGCCCTCTTAGAGAACAAAGCAAGGAATAATACATGCAAATATTAGCCCATATATATCAACATATCTATAAATTTTTCTATATGTAATGTTCCGTATCTATTTTACATTAAACATGAGTTCATATTTAGCTTTCTAAGTCCAATCCATTACCATATAGATTATTTTAGCCTCCCTAGTTTATTTATTTGCAAATTCCTCTTCCAACAGGAAGAAATCTGGCTGCCACCATTGGCCATCTATTTACTTAATTTTTCAAGTCCAGTATTTATGAATAGTAGTCTGAGAAATAACCCATACTGTCACTAAAAAGAGGTTTATCAGGTAGATCACAGAGCATACCTGTACAGTCCTTTTGCTTTCAGTCTTACAGAGTGCACTCACTTCCACAGTTAGGTCCACACTATATTTTCCCACCACTTTCGTGCAGTCTTTCATATATTTGCAATATAGTTAATGTTTCATCATATTCTGTATTCTATCCTGGGATTCTTGGCCTCCTAAATATTTTTAAATTTGTATAAGTTAAGATCCACTCTTTGCATTGTGAAATTCTATGGATTTTGATAAGCACATGTTGTCAAGTAGTTACCATTACAGTACCATAAAGAAAATATTTTTGCCACCCTAAAAAAAGTCCCTGCTCTTTGCCTGTTCAACCCTCTATCCCATCCTGAACCTCTAGCAACTACTGATCTGTTTACCCCCTCTATAGTTTCCCCTTTTCCAGAATACTTTATAATTGGAATCATACAGTAGATAGGTTTTTCAGAGTGTCTTCTTTCACTTAGCAATATGCATTTAGGATTTGTTCATGTAAGCATGATATATCTTTCTCATCCCTTTTAACATATCTGAGTATTTATGTTTAATGTAAACATGCCATAAAGATCATATGGTTGTTGCATTATTTTTTATCCACTCTATTATCTGTCTTTTAGTTTGTATACTTAGACAATTAACATTTATGTGGTTATGGATATAGTTGTGTTAATATCAACTATATTTGTAACCATTTTCTATTTGTTGCATTTGTTCTTTGCTTCTCATTCTTTCACCTTTTAGTTGAGCATCTTTTACTGCATTTTATATATTTCCTTGTTTTATGTCTTTAAAAAAACTTGAGTGTTTTCTTTTTAATATTTTTAAGCTATTATAGGTTCACCTTCAATGACAGTATAACACTTCCAGTGTAGTGCAAATACCTTATAACAGACTTCTCCACTACTTCCTTCCATCTCTTAAAGTATTGCTGTTATTTACTTCATGTATGTACATGCTATAATCACTGAATAGAATGTTAGTATTGTTACTCCAAACAAACACTATTTTTAGAGCAATTAAATATTCTATTTTACTTCATTTATTCCTTATCCAACATGCTTTCTTTTTACATATAGATTTGAACTCTGGCTATATTGTATTTCATGTTTCTGAAAACATATTTTAAGATTTCTTGCATGTCATGCCTACTGGTGTTCAATTTCATGAGATTTTGTTTGCTACAATCTTTATACTTTTATTTACATTTACTTTTGCAGTATAAATTACTGAATATAAAATTCCAGAATAATGTTTATTTTTCCTTTTAACACGTTACATATTTCACTTTACTCTCTTTTTGCTTAAGTGGTATATGAAGAGAAGTCTACTGTAATTCTTATTCTTGTTTCTCTATAGGTTAAATGATTTTTCTTCTGGTTTCTTTCAAGATTTTCTTCTTGTCTTCAGTTTTGCTGCTTGATGATTATATGCCTTTGTTTGTCCTTGTGGTGATTATTGTTTTAAAATATTTATTTTGCGATGTTTCCTGAGCTTAGTGGATATGTGGATTGATGTCTCTCATCAGCTTTGGAAAGGTATCAGCAATTATTACTACAAATATTTTTCTGCTCTTTCCTCATTTTCTTTTCCAGGTAATCCAATTACACCTACTTTACACCTTTTGAAATTACCCCACGTTCTAAAGTGTTCTTTCCCCCACCTCTTTTCTTTCTTTGCATTTTGGTTTGGGACGTGTATATTGACCTATTTTCAGGATCACTGATTCTTTCCATGGCTGTGTCCGGTCTACTGATAAGCTCAAGAAAGATAAACTTAATTTTCATTACAACTTTTTTGATATCTAGCATTTCCTTTTGATTCCATCTTTACGTTTCCATGTCTCTGCTTACATTACTCATATGTGTAATACACATATCTACTTTTTCCATTAAAATCCTTAACATATTAATCATCTTTATTTTAAATTCTACTTTTGATCATTTCTACATTTGTGTTATATCTGAGCCTGGTTCTGATGATTATTTTGTTTGTTAAGACAGCATTCTCTTGCTTTTTTATTTATCTTTTTTTTTTCCGGTAGTAAGAACAGTCTGTGGCTCCAGGAATTTCTTTCCATTTAGGTAGATATCGGCTGTGAGTCTACGTACACACCTACCTCTCCAGGCTTCAGTTGACAAATTGCCCTACTACTTCTTTCTCTGATGGATCCAAGAAAAGCCACTGATTTTTAGTTTATTCTGCTTTCTCTTGTTTTAAGGACAGGAGAGACAACTTCCATACTCTTTACACAATGGACCTGAAACCGGAAATCTCCTCAAATGCTTTTTAAATACAAATTTCATTAATATGTTTATTATAAAAAACAATATAAGCTCAATGTAAACAATTTTGAGACTTCCTGGACAAAGAGAAAACAAACAAAAATAACTATGGCCCATCACATAAATCCAATCAAGTTTACTATTTTCTATGTTTCACATGCATTTTTTAAAAAAAACAGTTATTATAAGACTGTATTATCAGGCTTATTACATAAAGATGTATCTATATGGCAAGAATAAAGTTATTGGATAAAGTTTCTTTTTTTTTTTTTTTTTTCCTGGTGGTGAGTTCCCTTGGCTGCATCTTTATTTTTTTTTTTTTTGTCTTTTTTTTTAAATTTAATTTTATTATTATTATACTTTAAGTTTTAGGGTACATGTGCACAATGTGCAGGTTAATTATTTATGTATACATGTGCCATGCTGGTGTGCTGCACCCATTAACTCGTCATTTAGCATTAGGTACATCTCCTAAAGTTATCCCTCCCCCTCCCCCCACCCCACAACCGTCCATGTCCATTTTTACATCTTTGTTATCATCCAGCATATATTTTATGTAGCCATTTCTATTTTGGCCATTTATGTTGGTTTTTAATATTTCACAATATAAATAATGTGGTGAATGTTTTACACTGAATTGTGGATTTTTAGTCCATACTTTCTGAAGTGAAATTACCTAACCAGAACAACTTTTGATACACGTTTTTTTCTTTTAGTCTTCATTTTTTTTATTTTTCTCTTCACTATCAAAGTTCTTTTTCTCTTTTTATAATATTTTTCTGTTTGTTTTCTCATTTGCGTTTACACAGCAACCATCTTATTCAGACAATCATACCTCAAATTTGCAATAGTTCCATGACTAGTTTCTCTTTCTCTACTCTTCAATTAATCATAGAAAGTGATCCTAGATTAAATATCAGCATTTGAATAGTGTGACTTCACTGATTACATTTTCAAATAATTTTTCTTGTTTCCAAAATAAAAAAATCACTTGGACTTTTTTTTGTCTAATCCCAAATTTGCTTTTCAGTTTGTTTTCTTCCATAAGCTTTTATTATCTCGTATTAGAACCAAATTAGACATATACCATTCACAAAGAACAATCTGTGTTTTCTCTATTATATGGTTTGTACCATTCTCTTCATCTAGAATACCCTGTCTTAAATATGTATTTGCTTAATCTCCATCTATCCTTTAAAGCCCAGCTCAAATGTTATCTTATTTGAAATAGTATGCCCCCATTTTCTTAGCTGGCATTCGTATCTCTGTATTCTGAATTTTTACAGTTTTTGTTATATATGTTTTCACTAAAAATCAATTTTATTCTCAAGAAATAATTTTAATTTCTTAATTATAATTATTTACTTGTAACTCAAGACAACAATTATTGGGAGAAACAAGATGAAGTGATGAATATACACAATACTAGAAAATGTAATCTTGATATGTTGCTTTCTGTTCCTCTAACGATCAATGGCAAAATTAGATGGCATAAAATATATATTTAACATGTATATTACATAGTCTTCCTCAAATATTAAAAGTAGTGAGTACTTGACAGGGCCCATATAGAATTTTGTTCTTAACTAAAAATTATGAAAAGCATCTATAATTTAGATACTTATTTTATTATTAAGTTCTTATTTTCCCCCATACAAATTCCTGGCCTGTGTTGTGATAGATTGTTGGTTTGGAAAAGTTCTACTTTTGCTATAATAATATTATTTACTTATGGTCACTTTTAAGGTACCCTGGATAAAATTAATTATTTAACTGAATTTATGGATTTTCTGAAACAAAACATGAATCCTATGTTTTTAAAATTTCTTATTTATTTCATTTAATTTTCTTTAAACTGAAAAATACTGCTTTATCAAGCAGAATCCTTGCTTTAATGTCAATGAGTATACATAACTGTTACCATGGGCTTATTGACATATTCTGAAAAATATGTTTAAAATGAACATTATTTAGAGAAAATGCTGAGAAAAGAAAAAAAGTTAATTGCCCATAAAGTGAAAAGTAGCTGAAATGATGGTCTACATAACATACCTATGAGTTATTTTCCCCATAGAAAGGAAAACTAAACTATGTCTGAGTACTAATCTCACATTTTTTTTTTTGAGACAGGACCTTGCTATGTTGCCCAGGCTGGCCTCAAACTCCTGGGCTCAAAGAGTCTTCTCATCTCGGCCTTTCCAGTAGCTGAGCTTACAGGCAATGCACCACTGCACATGGCTTAAATTTGCCTTTGATAATATTTTATTTTGATAATATTCCTGAGGCTATTTTTCCTTGCAAAAAGGATACAAATATATATATATCTGTTCTTGCCTTCAGCAAATACAGAACAAATGCAGGGACACTTTACACATAGAGTGAAAACAGGTGTTAATGCCTTCACAATGATTCATCAACCTTCTGGAACCCCGTAAGATTTATTTCTCTAGATACTTCACTGATTAAACCTTTTTAAACCTCTTAAATTTAATTGTCGCTTGAGTGCCTTTGTAACATGCTTGAAATATTCTTTGACTGAATTTTAAAACTGTATTTGAAGAATAAAGAAAAACATGCTAGTGAAAAACGAAAATGAATCATCCTGCTTTCAAGACAAGCTAAAAGCTAGAGCAGCATAATAACAACAAAACTCCATTGTCTGAAAAGATTAAAAGCACAATTGCAGGTCAGGAAATAATTATTTTGTTATTGCAATGGTTTAAGAGTCTTTAGTGATTACTAGCAAAGTAAAAAACATATCAACAAATCAAATAATCTGCAATATAAAAAGGTTCAATAACCCATTAGTGAAAGATTTATGTATGCACACACAAACACACACACCTTTGCACACGCACACATGCACAGTGGGTCAGAAATTATTACCAGTTCAGAGTCTAATGAGAAAAATATCTGTTGGGAAAGTATCCTTAATTCTCTGGAATTCATTCAGGAAAATTCTCAGATGTGCAAAACAGCAACATTTATTGGACTAAATTTTATCTTCAGCATGAAGCAGATGTTTTAAGTTGAATATTGTCTGCTTTTTTGTGTGTGTGAGACAGACAAATGAATGAAAATAGCTCTTCAGGGAAATCCATTTCCAAAATGCATTTATTAGGACTTTACTGAAGTGCAAGGAAAGAAGATGCAATTACAAGTCAACTTGAATATAATATGGGTTTAAAAAACTTTTTTCCACCTTGAGTGATTATTAGCTTAATTTAACCAATGGTCAATCTATTACTATGCCTAGAAAACTCCTGATTACGTATTAAAATAAAATAAGAATATTTTTAGAAACACAAATTTTGAAGTCTCAATTTTGAATTGCAGAACTTAAGAATATTCACGCTCAAAACCAAACTCTATATATTAAGAAAAAGAGAGAAAAGGAAAGAATGTATTTACTCATCACTGTAATCAAGCAAAAAACTATGCTTCAAACTCTGTCTTTATAAAAAAACAGTTAAGTTGTATTTGGAAATTTGTTTAACCTTATCAACCTTTTCTGCAAATATGTAAAAAGGGATTATTAATGCTTAATTTGTAGAGTTGATGTGATAAGTAAATTAAATAAGTGCAGAGCACTAGCATCTATCTGAAAATAGATTCTTATTAAATGCCATTACTATTCTTACTCCTTTTGAGAATCTAGAAACTTAATTAGGGATTTCTTCTGCTTCCACTACTGACTAATAAAAACATACCCTATTTTCAGACAAATAATCTATTATCAAACAAAATACATCAACCTGTATGATTTTCAAAAATAGTAACTTCCTTCTCCATGCACAAAAGTCTGTCTTTTCTCCCTGTGTCTTTTATAACCATTGAAATTGTCCTTTAGGTTATGGTTTATTAAAATCATACTTTGCAACATACTATCAGACTTCAAATAGTAAGTCTCAAGCACTGGAAAAAATATGAAAAAGAAGAATAACACAACTCAGTGCTTCAATTAAACATGAGCATACATAAACACAACTTTGCACAAACACACAGGCACAATGGGTCAGAAATTATGACCAGTTTAGAGTCTAATGAGAAAAATATCCGTTGAGAAAGTATCCTTAATTTGGATATTTAAAAAAATTCCAAATGTGCAAAATTAAATGCGCTATAAGGAGAATATAATGTAAAAATATGGGCATCTATCTATCTCCTCAATTTATCTATCTCCTCAATTTTCTACCCACCAATATGGCTGGTAATGTACACACAATGCAATCCAATCAATTTTCTAGCACCTAAAATCATTAATGTTCAGTCTTCCAGAACACCCATTCTTCAATCTCATTGAAATATCTAGTTTTTCCACCTCTCTTTATTTCTCTACTTATGTATCTCAGCCCCAATTATTTTATTCCTTTTGGACATCCACTTCATAGAAACTCAAATTAGAAATTTTAACCTCCTTGTCCTTCTGGGTGAGCCTTGTAGTTCAAGACGGTTAATATTTATACCATGCGCAACAGGTTTAATTTACTTTCCAGGCATTATATGGTTATTTAAAGAATACTTATTTAAAGTTTATAATAAACAAAACATTTCAGGTTGTAAAGTTATACAGGTAAGCAATGCAGGATGTTTTACTACTTACCTTGAACTTATTACTTAACCTGACTAAAATTCATTTTGTCAATCTGAAAATGGAACTAATAATACTTACACTGCTTAGTTTTCATGAAGATAAAAGAGGCTATGTATGTGAAAAACATCTGACATATAAGATGTGATATTTTACTTATTCCTGCTATTATTAATATTAATCTAGGTATTTGAATCATGGGGGCAGCAAATTCATGCTGAAATATACATACTAAGCAGTAAACAAAATAATGTCATGTTTCCCCTTTATTTGTAATGTTTTTTTTAACAGCTCACTCACTTTTTTTCTCATCTGTGAATAAGTCATTACAGTTATGTCTATGTGTAGTCTAATCACATAATACTATTTTACCTTTTCCAGAAGAACAATTTATAGGAAGAGAATGTAAAGTTTCAGGAATACTAATGTTCTTGGGGTTTGGCATTACTCCCAGAAGTGCTACAAATAAACACCTGAACACTGTCTCTTTCAAAACCAGTAGGTTTAAATAGAATTCTGTTTAGGTTTTTGAATTGTGACATATGTTAATCCCATTAAGAGTCTCTGCGTGAAAGGGATGTTAGCAGAATTTTAACATGGTATTATCAGGTAACCTGGCACTTTACAATAAATATTCTGTAAATGTTGTAACCCTGGGGAGTTTAAAACCAATAGGAAACTATTAAACAAACTATAGTTTGATTATTTGACATCAACCATTATGCCTTATGGAGTCAGTAACACCTAACCTGTTTTCACAATTTACAGTCAGATGTAATACAATATTATATATAGTATTATTGATGTAATGTTTTATATTAAAATATTTTATTTACCATTCTTTTTATCTGCAAGTTGATCAAACAATAAAATTTATTTGCAAATAAATGTGGTTTAAAATATATTTAAAATTTTAACTAATAATAAAGTTTTCTGTATTCTTGTCAATTGTTTATAATTGGTTTTGATATTTGTTAAAATACATTTTTAAAATAGAGTGATATAGAGATTTTTCTATAAAAGTTCATGTCTTAAAGCTTTAATATGCAGTAGTCATACTCATAACTTCAATGTACAAGACTATAATCAACAGGAAAGACCAAAAATTTGTCCATGCCTCAATGCACAGGACAAAGGTAGCTTAGGCTCACTGATCCATCCTCATACTAAGGTGCCTATTTCATAAAAATGGGGGGAAATATCATAAGTAAAGAGAAATACTGAGGAAGGAAGAACGGGACTGAGGGAAGTGGAAAAAGGAGAGGAGGAAAACAAAATTGGGGGGAAAAAAAAAAAAAAAAACCTAGTCAATTCCCTAGGGGGCATTTTCTTTTCCTAGCCATATTTTCAAACAAAGAAGCAGATACAATTACAAATACTGATTCTACAAAGGCAAAGGATTACCTTTCATGCTCAAGACACTGTGTTTGGTAATTGGTAATACTAATATTCTTTCTTTCTTAATGGGAGAGCTCCAGATTTATGCTATGATGGAGGAAAATCTGCTAAAGGATATGTTCTCCTTTTCCCTCTCCGTGCATCCATGAGAGACATTCCATATTCCATTGCTTTATGGGATGGTTCCAGCCAGCCTACTATAGTGTTAATTTAAACGACTTCTTGATATCCCTTCAAAATCACGATTGTAACACATCTAAACTCAAAAAATACAAAAATAATAATTGTATAATTTGTATGGATTCCATGTTATTGGGGGAAAAGGGAGATTAACACACAGTAGAGAAAACATTGATGTGTGTCAATTTGAACAAATATAATCCAAGTTTTAACTGGTTCCTCTTTGCAAAGCAGATTATCCTTCAATGAATGTGCTTGCAAGTCAGGCACCACTGGTAACAGCAATATGAGTAGCATATAATTTATTCTTAAGCTTATGATGCTCCTCAATTAAAATATGTTTCAAATCAAGTAAAATAGAAAGAACAAGGTTTTTGCTGGGTGCGGTGGCTCACGCCTGTAATCCCAGCACTCTGGGAGGCTGAGGCGAGCAGACCACTTGAAGTCAGGAGTTCAAGATCAGCCTGGCCAACATGATGAAATTCCATCTCTACTAAAAAAAAATACAAAAATTAGCCTGGCAGTAGTGATGCGTGCCTATAATCCCAGGTACTCGGGATGCTGAGGCAGGAGAATCGCTTGAGCCTGGGAGGCAGATGTTGTGGTGAGCTGACATCGTGCCACTGCACTACTCCAGTCTGGGAGACAAAAGTGAAACAGGCTAAAAACAAAAAATCAAAAACAAAAACAAACAAACAAAAAGAAACAAGATTTCCATGAAGTGGGAGTGACAGAAGACACTGTTCCAAAATGTGATGTCTTTAACCTCACAACAAAGCTAGGAATTACATACAAATATTTCCTCCACTACCTTTGTAGTAATCAAAATACAGGTAAATATATTTATAAGGGAAATTAAACTTGCCCACTGAAATTATAAAATTCCTCCAATTAAATTGAATTTGTTCATCTAAGTCATAGAATAGGCTCACTGACTTTGAGTAAAGAAGTAGAAACACAATATTTCTCTAAACCTGAGTCATGCACAATACAAGGTGAAGTATGAACACCCATCCATATATATTTATGACATACACCCACACATGTTTACATGTGTTTTTCAAATATCCAGAAAATATCTCACATTTAAAGTACCGTTATTTATTTTAGTATCTAAGTAGTAAAGTATCTGAGCCAAACCCCATTCTACCTAATTCAGCAGGGGTGAACATACTCATGGTACAATTTGCTCAATTGGCAGCTTTTGCACCACCATCGTGAGGGTATGTGGGGCATCACAGATTTCTGTGTTCTTCCAGAAAGAAGCAGCTTCCCCTTTTCCTTCAACCTGGCCCTGAGAAGATGGAATGAACAATCACTAGATAGGCTACCACTTTACACTCCATCCTCTAACTTTCTGCTTGGCTACACCACTGTATTTTTTTTAAACAGTTGACTCAGAAGCATAGTAAATTAAACAAAGTGTATAAATAGCAAAAAAGCGAAGATAAAGTAAAATGTGTTAATTATTAACACATGAGCAATTTTTTTCTTACATTTATTTTTATTTTCTTGACTAATTGTTCTCCTTACCCTTTGGAATTTAGGTTTCTTTTTCAGTATGCTACCCACAAATGTTGGGCTGAAGGTCACTGAAAACCTTCTAAATATTAAATCCAACCTTTCTCCAGATCTCTTAATCTTTCTGAAACTTTTGATCTTACAACTATACCTCTGAAATTTTCTCCTCTCTGGACATCTATTACACAGGATTATCCCATTTCTAATGAATTGTCCTTTTTTATCCTCTCACTTAAGGCTCTGATTGATTTTATTGATTTTACCAATCTCTGTCCATACAATTCATTCCATACAATTACATCCAGCCCTGAACTCTTTCTGAAAGGTCAGTCACAAGTTGAAAATTCCAACTGGCTTCTGGAGTCAATATGTAAATATAGTAGAGCCATTTCACTCTACTATTAACAAATTTTTAAAAGTCATTTTATGGAATGTGCGTTGGGGGGGTATAAAAAACTGGTGAATTTGGGCAAAGGGTATATTGGAGTTCCTTGTACTATTGAAACTTTTGTATAAGTTTGAAATTATATCAGTCTAAAAATTTACTGAAGCAAAGAGATATCAGTTGAATTTGCCCTCTTTTCTCCATGTATCTTTACATTGTTTACTATCCTTCTCAAAACCTGGATTTGAGATGATGGCTGTTAAAAATCAAGGGTCTAACATTACATTTTTGGTTTCAAATCTGGTTGTTCCATTACAGGGAGTATGACCTTTGCTTATATATGAAATCTCTCAAATTATATTCTTTCTTGGAAATAGGGACAATCATAGTACTTGTTTTACAGTGTTGTAAAGATTAAGGGAGATAGCCCTCATAAAATGGTTAGCATAGTGCCTAGTTTATAGTAAAAAAAATGAGGATCAGAGTATAGAATTATTGACATTGTTGTTACTTCTCCTGTACCATCACATCTAATCAACTGCCAAGTTTATAAATCTCAACTATGCAATGCCATTATTCTTTCCCTGGTATATTCACATTATACGGCTCTACTCTGTAGGTGTTATTCCGAAGATTTTGTTACTCCCTGCTTCCAAACCATATTTTTCCTAGCTGTTAAATTAATGGGCTTATACTACAATTCAAATTGTGTTTTGTTTTGTTTTGTTTTTTGCTTACGAGCTTATTTCCTTTTATTATGTCCAAAATTAAGTCAAAGGCTTCAGCTTATCCTTGAACCCTTCCAAAATATGACCCCAATAGACTTCATACTATTAGTGTCTTTCATTATTCTCTACAGCTGTCTAATTGTACAGTCAGACTACCTGGAACTCTAAACATATGTCTTTTGCTTTTTTGCTGTTGCTTCTTTCTCATGCTGTGCTACACACCATTTCGTCCTAATTCCCTTCCCCACTAAGGTTTTCTTCTGTCCAAGTCCCCTCTGCAGCTATTACATAAGATCACACTAAGGTAAATATTGTGCAAGATAAATTCCTGAAATTTCACTTGCTTAACACAGCAGTTCATTTATTGCTCATGGGAAGCCTCAAACAGGTATCCCTGCATGGTAAGGCAACTCTCCTATACAAGGTAATTAAAGAACCCAGTCTTCTTCAATCACGTGGTTCTGCCATTTTCAATTCATGACTTACAAGATTAACAAGCTCATCTGCATCAAGTCAGTTAAGAGAAAAGGAACAGGGGGCGGCGGTGGTGGGAGGTTATGGCCTCACCCTGGTGCTGCACATATCGTTTTTGTTCTCATTCCTGCTTACAACTGAGTCACATATTTACAGTTGACTTCAATAGAGTCTAACAACATAACCTGGCTCTGTGTCCAGGGAGAAGAAGAAACATATCTTTTAAATACTCTCTGCCGCACCACATTTCTTTTCTATGAAGCCCTTCATTTGCCTTCGAGGCAAATGTCGTGTATGATATGCAATAAGAACGTGGAAGCACAAAAACAAATTTGCATTTCTAGATTTGTGGTTAGTTATTATAAGATGTTACTATGAAAATTTTGTGTGAAGAATGTTATTAAAGTAGATTTTAAAACGAGATTATGTGTTCTCTTCATGGAAAGAGGGTGAATTCTCATCTGTATAGAACAGCGTATGTATTAATACCAGATGGCTAAAGGATGAGTTAATTAATCTCTCAAGGTCCCTCATGACTTTCTAATTCTAAGGATTTAAATGCTTTTGAAAAGGTATCTCTATTTTATTTTCTATTGTGACAATGCATAAAACTTGAGTTGGGTTCTTAAGCTTTCTGAATTTCAATGCAAATGGTATTTTCATAAAGTGGATTTGTAAAAACTAATATTTAGATTATTTTACAGAATTAAAGAGAGCTAAATAAAATTACAGAGGATACTCTCCCTGCATCTTTTAAGGAGAAGTTAAATCCTATTGAAATTTAATAATTAAAATATTGTTGCCTAGATTTTGAAATTATGCTATGAAAACAGGCTGCATTGCAAACCTATCCAGAAAATATAAAATATAATGGGCCCTTAACAGACAATGCTGTACTTGGTGTTTTCACTAGCTCCATAGATAGCTTTCTCCAGATGTTGCCAGGCAACAACAGCTCCTATGAAGAGATTTTTTGTTCATAAACTAAACCTTGTTGGTAACACAATGAGGCTCAAGATTTTTCCCACCTGTTCAGGTAGAATTAAAAGCAAAATAGCTATAGTCATAATAATAAATAAAAATCAGTTTGTATATTTTTAATTAAAACATATGACAATGACCTTGTAGAGAGATCTATAATTGGAATAATACACCTCACACTAGTTGTATGAGTGTTTTCTACAATTTTTAACAATTTACCTTGACTATTTTGTACTTATATCTTCAAAATTGTCTGGCTTATTTAAGCACTTTACAGATATATTATTCAGATGTCAGCTCGTTTATATCTTGGATTTTATCTTTTCATGTGCACATAATTTTAAGTGAAATCATCTTCACTCCATGTTTACTTATAAACTTATTATTCTTTGTTACAAGCAGTTCTCTGTTATCTGGATTGGCTGGGACTATTATGTTCTCATTATTCAAATATTCTGGTTCTAATATACATCTTACATGGATTACTAATGTCAAAGTACAGTTCTATGAAAATTGCCTTAGTGTTGACATTACAATAGCTGAAACTGCTACTTTTTATATGCATACAATATTACAGTTTCACTTAATTTAATCATCATTTATACAAAAACTTAGAATATATATGGCAATAATTTAGTGTGTTTCAAATAACTGTCTTTTTCCTCAGGAAGCATATAATGTTTGGTTTTACATAATATGATTCAAAACAGAGTGAAAACTGCAAAGAAAATATGTATATACAAGGTAGAAAAATATTCATTATCCAAAGAGATTTATCACCATGACATCCTTTACATTATTGCAGAGTCAAATCATGTTATCAGTTTTTGATGTTATAAAGATCCATTATATTTTATGACATTCTTTGTGTTGCATAGTTTTTTTCTCAGTTTTGTTTCCACCTCCTTACAAGTAATTTTTTTACATCAACGACTAGGTAGAAATTTTTCATTTTGCTGAGGAATGTGCTTTAATTTCTCAAACTCTGAGACAGGAGAGTCACTTTTCTGGTGAATGCAACCGTAAAATGAATGTCTCAACATTTGTATCTCTATAATATATGGTTCTTATAGTTTAATACTTGTCATGGCTAATTTTAGATGTCGACTTGCCTGGATTAAAGAATATCTAGAGAAGTGATAAAGTATTATCTGTAGGTATGCCTGTGATGGCGTTTCTGGAGGAGATTGGCATGTGAGTCCAAGTGTACTAAGTCTGGAAGATACCATCCATGCAGGCAAACAACATCTAATTGGCTGGGTGTCGACACAGAATAAAAACAGAGCAAAAGGGAACTGGTCTCTCTCCCTCTTAGAGCTGATTTACACTTTTTTTTTTTGTCCCTGGGCATCAGAACTCCAGATTCTCTGGCATTTGGGCTCCAGGACTCACACCAGTAGCCCCCATAGATTTTCAGGCCTTCAGACTTGAACTGAATTACACTAACTGCATCCCAGGGTCTCCAGCTAGCAGACAGCCTGTCATGGGACTTCTCAGCCTCCATAATTGCATGAGCCAGTTCTTCTAGTGAATACCTTTTCATATTTCGTATTTGTTCTCTCTCTCTAGAGAAAACCCTGGCTAATGCAATACTCAAATCCATATAATCCACAGGGTCACCTATTAAGGAATCTATTTTTATCTTCATGTTGTAGCTGAATCAAGTGAGGAGATTTACATTGCAAAGATTATAGAATTCATAATTTGTAACGATTATAAGTCTATTTCAAACCTCTACTTCCAGTATGATGGAATAGCTGGTATTTTACTAACATTTCACTGATTATAACTAAATATCTGAATACAGAAACATGAGAGAGAGAGCAAGAGAGAGAGAGAGGAAGAAGAGCAAGAACTGAGGGGACAGAATCCTGGAAAGAGTGTGTGTTTGTTTTCTTGTGCTGCTGTAACAAATTACTACAAATGAAGGGCTTAAAACAACACGAAGTTACTACATTACAGATCTGGGTATCAGAAGTCTAAAATGGGCCTTAAGAGGCTAAAATCAAAGTGTTGGCAGAGCTGCTTTCTTTATGAAAGCTCTAGGGGAGAGTTCATTTCCTTACCTTTTCAAGCTTCTAGAGGCTTCCCACATTCCTTGGCCAGGTATCACCTTTAGCAATCACATCACTTCGAACTCTGCCTCTGCCTTCATTTCTCCTTCTCAGTCTTTGACACCTCTTCCTTCCTCTTAGGAGATCCTGTGTGATTACATCGAGCCCTTCCAGAAGGGCAGTCTCCCCATCTCAACGTCCTTCATTTATTCATATCTGCAAGTATTTTTTTGCCATGTAAAGAAACACATTCACAGGTTTCAGAAATTAAGGAATGGATATCTTTGGGGATCCAGTATTTTGTCTACCACAGAAGAAAAATGGCTTAAGATGAGGCTGCACACACCACTCCTTCTGTCTTGACATTTGACATTATGCAGCATGAACCACAGTCAGAATCTGAAGAGTCACACTTGGTTGCATAGAGGATGAACAGAATAGAGCAGCCTACAACCTCTAATGCCATCTTTGGCTGGGTAGACAAATCTGATTTCTGGGCTACCAAGGGAGCCAGAATGAAGGTACCAATGTCATAGAGAAAAGAGACTCTGGAGAAACAACCTCAATATTCTGCATACAATTTCCTCTCAAGATATAAAATGACCTCTTGTATGTGTCTGTGTAGATTTAGAAACCAATTAATCAGACAAAAGTCAAACAGAATGAAAATGACAAAAAGGTTAAAAACTATTATAGATGGACCCTAAGGTTGCCCCTCATCCATGATTCCAAGGTTTGGTCTTCATGGTCTTGTAAAATTCTTCCTCCTTCCGTTGAATGTGGGTGAGACCTATGACTTCCTGTACATAATAGAATAAGATGAAGGTGATATGATATCACTGTCATAGTTATTTTACATTAGGCTTTGTCTTGTTAGAATAATCACTTTAGAGACTCCCTTGCTGGCTTAATGAAGTAAGTGGTCATGTGGAGTTTCCAAAATGATAAGCAACTATGAACAGCTTTCAGGAACTATAGGCTGATATTAGGAGCTGAGAGGGTTCACCAAGCAACCGGCACCAAGAAGCTGAGCTCCTAGTTATACGGCCACAAGGAAATGAATTCTGTTAGCAACATAAATGAGCACATAGGAAACTATTTTGTGAATTTTCAGTAATGTCCTTCCCTTCCCTTTCCTTCCCTTCCCTTCCCCTCCCCTTCCCCTTCCCATTCCCCTTCCCTGCCTCCCCTCTCCTCCCCTCCCTTCCCTTCCCTTGCCTTCATTTTCTTTTCTTTTCATTTTTCTTTTCTTTTCTTTTTTAATGGAGTCTTGCTCTGTCACCCAGACTGGAGTACAGTGGCATGCTCAGCTCCCAGCAACCTCTGCCTCCCGGGTTCAAGCAATTCTTCTGCCTCAGTCTCTGAGTAGCTGGGATTACAGGCATAGGTCATCATGCCCAGCTAATTTTTATATTTTTAGTAGAGACAGTGTTTCACCATGTTGGCCAGGCTGGTCTCGATCTCCTGACCTCAGTCGGTCTGCCCACCTCGGCCTCCCAAAGTGCTGGGATTACAGGTGTGAGCCACTGTCCCCAGGCTTAATGTCCATTTTCTACATAAGAAATTTGGTTTATCTGTAGAATCACCCTACAAAATAATCATTATCACCTTAATTTCACCAGAAAGAAATATGGGACCCCCAAATTTTAGATAAATTTCCCATTAACCACACAATTAATTCAAGAGCTAAGATTCGAATGCAACTCTTTTAGATTCGTAAGGCTATGTTGAACGATTAGTTTAAAGTTATATAATCTTATGTCCCTGTTGGAGATAACAGAAAACAAATTCCCCCTTTATCCCAAAAAGAAAAATTGCTCAGGACAGTGGCACATGCCTATGTTCCCAGCTACACAGGAGGTTGAGGTAGTATGATTGCTTGAACCCTGGAGTTTGAGGCCAGCCGGGCAACATAGTGGGACCCCAACTCTACAATAAACAAACAAATAAAAAGAAAAATTACACCAAGAGAGGGCTGCAATACTTTTTATGATCTATCCTTAAAAGTCTCAGGAAGTTATTTCTAGGGCATTCTATTGGTGAAACAAGCCACTAACACCAGTGCAGATTCAAAAGAATGGCAGGGATAGACTCCACCTGTTGATGGAGTAATTAAAAGAAAAAAGGTAAACAGCTTAATGACATTCATCATGAAGACAGGCTACCACATGCTCTGTCTTCTGGTTGACTGTGATCAACGGAAAGCAAAGACTAGGAACCTGAAAAGAGAATAAAATCTTCCTATTCAAGTGATCATTATCCTTTTGATCACAGGTTGCCAATGTCTGTTTCCTTCTGACTTTTATTAACAATGCATGGATATATCCCCAGTTAGATACCTTCTCTACTTAAGCTACAAGTCTTCCTGGGTTATTTCTTTCTTTCTTTTTTTTTTCTTTTTTTGAGAGGTAGTCTCGCTCTGTGGCCCAGGCTGGAGTGCAGTGGCGCGATCTCGGCCCACTGCATGCTCCGCCTCCTGGGTTCACGCCATTCTCCCGCCTCAGCCTCCCGAGTAGCTGGGACCACAGGCACCCACCACCACGCCCGGCTAATTGTTTATATTTTTATTAGAGACGGGGTTTCATCGTGTTAGCCCGGATGGTCTGGACCTTCTGACCTCGTGATCCGCCCACCTCGGCCTCCCAAAGTGCTGGGATTACAGGCGTGAGCCTTTCAATCTCTCCATCTCTTTGACCCTTTTTTCCTAAATGGTGCTAAAATGTTTAACTATTGCTAAACCCTGGGATTGGTAGTGAGGTTGGAAGAATCACTAACCTTGTTGCTTTTCTTAACCACGTCTATAGATTTCTGGAAATTGCACACATTTATATCCATACATTTGTAGATAAGATATTTTTTATATTATCTAATTATCCTTTTTCAAAGTGCCACTTGTTTACAACCTGCCTGAAGCAATACACAGAGAAACCTCAGTAGAAGTTAAATTGATAAATATATCAAAGCAAGAACTTATTATAATTTTATATTATAATTATAATTTATATTCAAAATTATCATAATTTTTTCTGGAGGTTATATTGTTTTTATTAGGTCACAATTTATGTATAATAAAATATACCAACCTTAAGTGTACAGTTAAAATATTTTTGAAAGTTTATACAACTGTGGAACCACCACCCTAATCAAGATATAGAACTTCCATATCAGTCAAAAAAAAAAAAAAAATCTCATGACCCTTTCCAGTCAACCTGATCTACTTTTGTACTTCCTAAAGAAAATTTATAGTTGTACAATATAGTGCATTCAACATCCATGTAGGAACACCTTGTCAGGGTCTTTGTCATTTTAAAGCATGAGGCTATTTTAAAATATGAAAAAGGGCTTGTATTGGTATGGCAAGAAACAGCAAAATTATAATAATGCAGAGAGAAATTGTAATTAATTGTGGAACAGCTATATGTAGAGAATAAAGATAAAATTGTAATTAGATAAGACACACTTCTGAAGTTATGTGTCACTAACCAAAAAATAAGCTTTGATTCACCTCATCTAAATATGGATTCAGCATGATGACAGTTGAAAGTTTTTATCAAAAGTGAGCTCTGTCAATTTTAGAAAGGAAATATTCTGCAAATTTTCTTATAAAATAAGGTTCTCTATTGAGTGCATCACCTTATACAGTAGGAATCATGGAGAAAAAGTAACTGGAACAGCTTGAGTTAAAGACAAATTTTATCCACAGTGATATAAAAGCTGTTAGAACATGCCACTTGTTCAGATTACTATTGTGGCAAAACAAATCACCTCAAAATTTAGCAGCTGAAAACAACTATTTTATCTTGCTCACTATTTGGTGAGTGAGGAATCCTGGATTGGATTGACTGGGTGGTTCTTACTTGGACTTTCATGTTTCAGATGTTGGATGAGGCTACAGTTATCTGAAAGCCCAAGTGGGCTGGCCTCCAAGATGGCCCACTCAAGTGGCTGGCAGCTGAGGCTAGATGACAGCTGGGAACTCAATTGGAGCTATTTAATAGTTCATCTACACGTGGCCTCTCCAGCTTGGTGATCTCATGGTAGTCGGCATTCTTAGATGGTTAATAGCATTTCCTAGAAAGAACATCACAAGAGAATCAATCAGGTAGAAGCTACATGACCTTGTAACATTGGCCTTGAAAGTCATAAAATCTTAGTTCAACCATATTCTGTTGGTTTAAATATTTTCAAGGGCACCCAGAATCAATAAGCCTAGAATCAATGCAGCCCCCTACAAAAGGAAGAATGTCAAACACAGAACTGCTGTGAGCTAAAGGGGCAAGGCCAAGGGTTGTATGTGTTTAGATCATTCATTATTAGAATGTACTGCTTGAAAAAGTCCATTGAAAATCAAAGCCATGAAAGGATAAATATGTGAATATTTGGGTTTCAGAAAGTCACTGTACATAGCTTAGTTTTAAGAGGCCAGATTTTAATTGCATAATAGTGTTAAGTTAGTGAGTTTAGAAAAAATGTCTTTTGAATTTTAAAAATAAATGCCTTACCTTTTTAATTTACATATTAGTTACTATGGTAAGGTAAAAAAAAATGACTCAAAGCTGAATTGTTTAAACAATACTATTTATTATGTCTGTTTCTGTGGTCAGGAATCCGGGTACAGTTTAGTTAAGGCTTATGGCTCAGGATCTTTCACAAGGTGTCATCCTGTGCTGAAGTAATTTCAAGGCTTTCTTGGGGAGAATCCACTTCCCAACTTGCTTATGTGGCTGCCATCAGGATTCAGTATCTTCAAGCCTTTGGACTGGGTGTCCTTTAGTAGCTTTTGGCTGGAGGCTACTCTCACATTCTTGCCTCATGGGTATCTCCATAGGACAACTCACAACACTGGAACTTGCTTCCTCAGTGTTACGAAGCCAGAAGAGCCAGCAAGAGAGAGAAAGAAGGAGTGCCAGCAAGACAGATGTCACAGTCTTTTATAGCTTGATTTTGAAGTGACATCCCATCCCTTCTGCCATGTTTTTTTTATTTTTCATGAGAGGCAAGTCAGTATGTCTAGTCCACACTCTACAGGAAGAAATTGCACAAGGGCATGAGTTCCTGGAGATGGAGAACGCCGAGAGTCAGCTTAGAAGCTGCTATCAGAGTTTACATTTCATTTCATTTCATTTTAATAATATTTCCATGTTTTATTTGTATGCTCTTAGTTGTTGGTTTTAACTGAAAGTTATATTTTAATTGTTCTTACCTTCTTTTGTTTCATTTCTCTTTTATGGCACTTTCTTTTTGTTTTCATATTTGGCTTTTCTTGTTAATAATTTAAAATTATCACATTTTTGTTAATATTTTAATTAAATTGTTTTAATTTTTTCATTACTTTGTTGTTAACTTCATCTTTTTTACTGAAAATTAGTTATATTTTCCCCGAAATTTTGTTCTGTTAGCTTTTGAAAAAGCCAGGCAAGATGGTATAGCTACTTTGGAATACAGTGTGGTCGTTTCTTTTAAAACAAAACCTATTCCTGCCATATCACTAGTAATCATGCTTCTTGGTATTTACATAAGAGAGTTAAAAACTTATGTGCATACAAAACCTACACATGGATGTTATAGAGGATTTAAAATAATTTTGCTAAAACTTAGAGGCAACCAAGACGTCCCTCAGTAAGTGAATGGGATAAATAACTATGAGACATCAAATCAATGGAATATTATTCAGCAATTGAAAGAAATTGAAAGAAATGAACTATCAAGCCATAAAAAAATCTACATAGAACAAATGTATATTAATTACTAATGACAGAAACCAATCTGAAAATGTGTCATATTGTACATATTGTATGATTCCAACTTTGTGACATTCTGAAAAAAAGCAAAGCTATGGAAACAATAAAAAGCTCAGTAGTTTTCAGGGGTTATGGGGGAGGGAGGGATAATGGACAGAGCAAAGAGGATTTATAGGGCAGTGAAACTATTCTATATGATAGTATAGTAGTGGATACATGTCATTATAAGTTTGTTCAAACCTATAGCATGTACAACAACAAGAGTGATACCTGATGTGTACTGTAAACTTTGGATAATGATGTGTCATTGTAAGTTCATCAATTGTACCACCTGATGGAGAACGTTGATATTGGGGGAGGCTGTGCATGTGAAGGGGACAAAGGTATATGGGAAATATCTGTACCTTCCAGTCAATTTTGCTGTGAACCTAAAACTCCTCTAAAAATAGTCTTTAAAAAAAAAAAGTCAGGCAAGAAGCACAGTGATGGACATGTGTGAGCAGTTTGCCTAACTTTTAAGTGGGCATTAAAAAAATGGGCATATAAGGCAATATGTTAGTTCTGCAGCAGTCCTTTTATATTCCCTTATTTTGATTTCTTTCACATCTTCCAAATATATCTACCCCTCTTTTTTGAGTTGTTGAATAAGCTTTTATTAAAATTTGAATCCGTGAATATCTTCTGAATGCTACCAAAAATGTTGAGTTTTCTTAAATCAACTAATCTTTTCTGTTACTTATTTTAAAATATCCATTTAAAACATAATGGATTATTCCATCATTTCATGAGAAGCTAAGTCCCAGAAACTCTTGGTATTTTCTCTATAAGATTGCTAAACATGGGGTAAGACATATCATCAAATTGCTCCACATCAGAAGAGATAACGTAGGTAGAAGAGTAGGTAGTCTGATTTAAGGCAAACACCCTAGTCACTATCACCAATGTTTTGTTGTAATAAAAATCGTGATTTTATATCTATATTGGTACCATCTTCTCCAAAGTTGTCTTTCTACGTTCATTCCTGTCATTTTACAAAAATGCAAATCTTTCATGTCAACTCTTCCTACCATTAAGTATGTACATAGTTTCTTATTGCCTTTAAGAAAGTGGCCACCTTCTTGGCATACTTTTATAACCTAGCATGATATAGCCCAATGTCTTTTAGTCTACTTCCACCTCATTACAGAACATCAATCCAATTACATTTCACTTATCTAGTCACATGTACACAATTTATACCTCTTTTTTAGTGCTTAAAATTGTTTTCAAATAACCACATTTGTAGCTAATTATTTAATATCTATTTCTCAATAAACTCTAACTTCTCTGAGAAAGTACCGTTATCTGCTTAGTTTACTGCTATGAAATAATGTCAGGAATAATGTTTTGCAAGCAGGTGACATTAAATAATTATCTGTTGTATTAATGAAAAAATAAAGAACCTAAAAGAAAAATGTAATAATTCTAGATTTCTGGATGTTTTTTTCTTATTTAACAAATGAAAAAAAATTCAAGATTAATTGGCTAATTGACACAGAGACAATTACTGAACCAGAATGCTGGATGACAGGTATAATTTCCACATATGTCATACTCTCTTCCCCTATTATTACCATCTTACACTAGGATGAATAACATATTTTTCACAATTAATAAACAGATATCAATACATTATCATTACTAAAGTCAATACCTTATCAGATTTCCTTAGTTTTTAGCTTAATGTCTTTTTTCTACTATAAGATTACATCCAGGCTATTACATTCCATTCAGTCATCATGTCTCCTTAGGCCCTTTCTGGCTGTGACAGTTTCTCAAACTTATCTTGTCTTTAATTACCTTGACAGTTTTGAGGAGTATTGTTTAGATATTTTGCAGAACATCCTTATATTGAGATTTACATGGCTTTATTTTCCATGATTACACTGGAGTTATAGGTTTGGGGAAGGAAGACTACAGATATAAGATACCATTTCCTTCACATCATATCAAGGATATAGAGTATAAACATTCTTTATCACTATTGATGTTGACCTGATTCCCTCACTGAGTTAGTGTTCTCATGTTTCTACACAGTAAATTTACTCTTTTCAATGTTGTCCATTTTGGAAAGAAGTCAGATTTAATGAAGAAGGAATTATGTTCTGCCTATTTGAGGATGGGTATCTATAGAAATTAATTTTATTCTTCACAGAAAATCTGCTAATTCTTCTCCACTTTTATTCAATAATGTTTGTATGAGAACTCTTGAATATTTATTTAATATTTTATGTAATATTGAGAAATATAATAATATAAAATACTATATTTTGTTGCACAAATTATTTCAGCTTTGGTTATTATGAGCTTTTTCATTTGACTCCTATATCCCTTTGATATTTCCCCATCATTGTGTTTTTGTGGTTTTATTTTGTTTGTGTTTTTTTTTTGAGTATTTATTTTCTTGTGTTTATCTTACTTAAAGATCCTCCAGACTTATCCTGTATATTTTCTGCCTCAATCTTGCAATCAGCCATTTTTAATAAAAGCTGATTCCTTTTATTGCAAATAGCATTAGACACGAATGTCTGGGAATTAAATGTTTTCATTGCTGTTGTGGTGGTGTTTCTAGGCCGTTTCAGCTGACTGAAAAATGAAATATATCCATGTATACTAACTTATATATAGACACACTTATGACCATTTCTCTGTAAAACCATCTGTATCTACATTAAGTTATTTTGAGTTCATAGTAACGTCTCCAACTACAATCCATTATCACATAGATCATTTTTGCCTCCTCCACTTGCTTATCTGCAACTCCCACTCAAAGAGTAAGAAAACTGGTTCCCACCATCTGCAAACTGTTTAACTTATTGTTCATTTCCAGAATAAATGTATACAATTACCAGAATTGTTAACTCATACCCCCATGGGATGTAACTTTATCAATTAGAGTACAGGGTTATGTACAGTTTCTTTGATCTTTAGTTCTACAAATGTCACTCATTTCAAAAGTTACTTAAGTCAGCACTTTTCTCCAACCACATTTTTTTTTTTTTTTGGTGGGGTGGTTTAGACATTTGTAATACTGTCAGATTGTTTTCTGTATTCTGAGTTTCATCCTTGGATTCCATTAACTCCTTAAATGATTGTTGTAAATATAGGCATACATTATGTTTCACTGTGTTATAAAGTTCAACAGGTTCTGACAAATGTGAGGTGTCATGTATCTACTATTGTAGGATATTAAGAGATTGTTTCACCATCCTCAAATTTCCCTTCTGCTTCACCTATTCAACCTTTTTTCCCTTCTGCTGAAGCTCTGACAATAACTAATATTTTCATTGTCTATGTAGTGTGCCTTTATTAAGATTGTCAATAATAAGTATTTTTATTCATTGAATATGTAGCCTTTAGGAACTGACTTTAACTTAGCATTATGTATTTAGCTCATCCAGTTCTTTCTAGGGCTTGTACATAATTTCTTTCTATCACTGTATCAGAGTCTATTGTGTGGTTATATCATACAATATATCCATTGACCCAATCACCTATTGAAAGATAACTTGTTTTTTTTTGTAGGTTTTGGTTATTATAAATAAAGCTCTTATAAATGTTTGTGTGCAGGTTTTTGTGTGGACATAAATCATTAAATCAGTTGGGTAAACATTTAGGAACATGATTTCTGGATCATATAATTATACCTTTGTTGTTGTACGAAACTGCCAGAACTATCTTCCAAAATGACTGTATAATTTTGCACTCTGACCAACACTGAATGATATTTTATTTTGCTACATCTTCACCAGCAGGATATATTGTAACAGATTTGAATTAAAATCATTCTAATAGGTGTGTAATAGTATCTCATTGTTGATTTAACATGTATTTCTTTAATGATGTATAATATTCAGCATTCCTTCACATGCTATTTGCCATTTGCATCTCCTCCAAGGTAAGCTGCCAGTTCTGGTCTTCTGTACAATTTTATAAATTTGAGGTTTGTCTTCTTATTCCTGAGTTTTAATAGTTATTTTTTTATTTGGGATAGGAATCCTTTATCAGATATATGTTTTGAAATATTTTATACCTCTTTGTGGTTTGTCTCGATTTTTTCATCAGTATCTCATAGAGCAGTTTTCAATTTTAATAAAGCCCAGCTTCTCAAAGTTTTTGTCCATTCTTGATCTTTTGCCTTTCCATATAGACTTTATAAATATTTTGCTAATATTTACACAACAGTTTGCAAGGATTTTGAGGAGGATTGTGTTAAGTCTATTGGTCAAGTTTGGAAGAATTGGCATCTTAGCAATATTGGCTATTCTATTCCATGAATATGGAATGTATCTCCGTTTATTTAGAACCACTTTGGCTCTTTTACTAGAGTTCTCAAGTTTCCAACATATACACTGTGGACATATTTTATTAGATTTCGTGTGTGTGTGTGTGTGTGTGTGTGTTATACCTGGCATATAAAAATTTTCAAAATGCAGTTGTTTATTGCTGTTGTGTGGCCCCATCCACTGTGTTTAAAGCCAGCAGTGAAACATTCAATTTTCTCTCCTGCTGTGTAATTTCTGCTTCTATCATCATGTTGCCATCTCGAACTGAACCTCCTGCCTCCTCATATGGACCTTTGTGACTGCATTGTTCCCATTCAGATAAACCAGTATAATTTTCCTGTCTCAAAATTGTTAAATGCATAACATCTTCAATGTCCCTTTTGTCATTTAACAGAACATAACAGGTTTTAGGGATTAGGACATAGGCATCACTGGGCAACCATTATTATGTCTATCAAATCTTGTATCCTGTGACCTTGTCCTATTCCCTTGCAGCTTGTAGAAGAGTTTTGCTCTTGTCAGTCCTTTGGGATTTTATATATAGATATCATGTTATATGCAAAAAATAGTTTTATTTTTTCCTTACCAACCTGTATACTTTTTTATTATCTACTGTACCAGCCAGTAATAACAAGACAATGCTGAACAAAAGTGGCTAGAGAGAATATCCCACCTTGTTCAAATCTTAGTTGGAAAGTATCCAGTTTCATACTAGTAAGTATGACATTAGCTGTAGGTTTTTTTGTGTGGCTGTTCTTTATCAAATTAAGGGAGTTCCCTTGTATTACAAATTTGCTGGAGAGGAGAAAACTCTGCTACCATGCTAGCTTTGAAGATGAAGGGAGTGGCCGTAAGCCAAGGAACGCAGGCTGCTTTTGAAAATTGAAAAAGACAAAAAAACAGGATCTCCCCTGTGGTGTCCCCTCTAAACTCAAGAAGGAAGGCAGCTTTGAAGAATCATTTTAAACTTCTGACATCTACAATGGTAAGGGAACACATATATGTTGCTTTATGCCACTAAGTTTCTGGAAACATTACAGCAGGATTAGAAAAGTAATCATTATTATTACTTATTTTTTATCTTTAGCAAATTCAGAGCTATTGGATTATCTCCTTTTTAAGTTTTGATACTTTGTGTCTTTCATGGAATTCACCCATTTAACCTGTTTTCAATTTTGTAGAAATGAAGGCATCCGTTTTATTCTTTTATTATCCTAGTATCTATGGAATTACTAATGATGATAACTCTTTTATTTCTGATATTGGTAATTTATATGTTCTCTCTTTTTTCTTGGTTAATCTGGCTTGAAGTATATCAATTGTACTAATCTTTACAAGAACCCATTTTGGGTTTTATTGATTTTCTCTAATTTTGTTCTCAATTTTATTAATTTCCATTCCATTTTTTTATTTCTTTTCTTCTGCTTGCTTTAGGCTTAAATTGCCCTTCTTTTTCTAGTCTCCTAACATGGAAGTTTAGGTTATTGTTATTAAATATAGAGGGGGGAGGGGAGGATAGGGACAAGGGATGAAAAACTAACTATATAGAGTACTATGATCAAGACCTGGGTGACAGAATTATTCATACTCAAAACCTCAACTTCACACAATTTATGCAGGTAACATACCTGCACATGTACCCACTGAATCTAAAAAAAAAGTTGACTAGATAAACACATCTTTCTTCTCTGATAATATGTGCTTTTTATGTTATAAATTTCCCACCAAGCACTATTTTCGCTGTATCCAAACACTTCGAAAAGTTGAATTTTTAATTTTCGTTTAGTTCTAATTTTTTAAAAGTTTATCTTAAGACTTCTTTGATTTATATGCTATTTAAAAATATGTTAGGATATCCATCTATCTTTATGTTATTGATCTCTAGTGTAATTCCACTGTGTTGAAGAACATACTTTGTATGCTGTTATGTTAAATTTGTTAAGGTGTGCTCTATAGCCCAGACTGCAGTCTGTCTGGGTGAATGTTCCATGAGAGCTTCGAGAAAATGGTTTATTCTGCTGTTGTTTTAAGTATTCTATAAAATGTCAATTAGATCAAGTTGGTCGATAGTGCTGTTAAGGTGAACTATATTCTTACTGATTTTCTACCTGCTTAATTTATCACTTACTGAAAGAGGGTCGTTGAAGTCTCCACCTATTCTTTTTGCAGTTTTATCAGTTTTTGCCTCAAATATTTTGACATTCGATTATTCGGTGCAAATACATTAAGGATTATTATGCCATCTTAGAGTACTGACAACTATACCATTTTATAATGCCCCTCTTTATCCTTGATAATTTTCCTTGTTTTGAATTCTGCTTTATTGGAAATAATATAGCTGCTTTGTCTAGTTTGAATGTGGTATATCTTTCCAGATGCATTTTATTTAAGCTATCTAGGTCTCTATACTTAAAATGAGATTTTGTAGAAAACATATAGCTACCTTAACGTATATTCACTCTGACAATCTCTGTTTTGTACTTGATATATTCAGAACTTTCACATATTAAGCAACTAAGGGCATAGTTGGATAATATCCATGACGCATATAACTGTTTTTACTCATTGCTCTTGAAAAATTTTTCTCTTTTTCATCATTATCTTATTTTAATTGAACATTTTATACACTTCTTTCTCATTTCATTTCTTAGCATTTAAATTATACTTTTTATGTTTAAATGTTTGTACTAGAGTTTGTAATATAATTTTTTTTTTTTTTCTTGAGACGGAGTCTCACTCTGGCACCCAGGCTGGAGTGCAGTGGCACGATATCGGCTCACCGCAACTACTGCCTCCCGAGTTTAAGGGATTCTCCTGCCTCAGTCTCCCAAGTAGCTGGGACTACAGGCGCCTGCCACCACACCTGGCTAATTTTTTGTATTTTTAGTAGAGACGGGGTTTCGCCATGTTGGCCAGGCTGGTCTCGAACTCTCGAGCTCAGGCAATCCACCCCCCTCGGCCTCCCAAAGTGCTGGGATTACAGGTGTGAGCCATCACGCCCGGCGTAATACACATTTTTAACTAATCTAAACCTGCCTTCAAATTAAAATCTGACATTTCACATGTAGTACAGATAACTTATAAGAGTATTCCAAATTCCTCACTCCTATTCCTTATGATATTACTGCCATTCATTTTACTTACTCATGTGTTTTGGCACTGAATACACTGTTAAAAGTATAATTTTAAACAGTTTCCATGTAGAATTAAAAATAAGGAAAAAAACTTTATTTTTCTTTATGTCTTCACTTACAGTCTTTCTTTATTTAGGTCCAAATTTCTCACCTACATCATTTTTATTCTACCAGAGGGCTTTAAATATTTCTTGTGTGGCAGGTCTAATGAGAATGAGTTGTCTCAGTTTTTGTTTATTTGAGAACAGTTTTATTTCTTTCATTTTAAAGAGTAACTTCATTAGATATAAAATTCCTAATGTTGTTATTATTTTTTCTTTCAAGGCTTTAAATATTGTACTCCACTTTCTTCTTGATAGCGTGACTTCTCAGAAAAAGTCTACTGTAATTTTTACCTTTTTATTCATTAGGTATGGCGACTCACACTCCCAACCTCGAATCCTTTAAAGATTTTTTTCCTTGTCTTTGGTTTTCTGTGGTTTGAAAATGGTCTGCTGCTACAGACTGAATTGTATCCCTCTAAAATTTATATGTTGAATCCCTAAGTCCCAGTGTGATGGTATTTGGAGTTGGAACTCCTGAGAGATAATTAGGTTTAGATGAGGTCATGAAGGCAGGACCCTTACGATGGGATTATTGCCCTTCCTAGAAAAAACAACAGAAAACTTGCTGCCTCTCACCCTACCATGGGAGAACACAGCAAGAAGAGAACCAAATTCTGCCGGCCGGGAAGACAGCCCTCACCAGAATCTCACCTCACCGGAACCCTGAACTTGGACTTCCAACCTCTCAAACTGTGAGAAACAAATTTCTGTTCTTTAAACCACCAAGTCTATGGGATTTTGTTACAGTAGCCTGAGAAGACTAAGACATGTGAATAGGTGTAGGATGTTCTTAAAATGTGTCCCGCATGAATTTCTATAAAATTCCTGATTCTTTGTTCTCGTCTCTGATGTTAATTTTGAGTAATTCCCAGCCATTTTTACTTACTATGATAAACCTCTTGAACTTGTCCCACACATCTTGGATGTTCTTTCTGGATTTTTTTTTTTTTTTTTTTTTTTTTTTGAGACAGAGTCTTACTCCGTCACCAAGGCTGGAGTGCAGTGGCGCGATCTTGGCTCACTGCAACCCCCGCTTTCTGGGTTCAAGCGATTCTCCTGCCTCAGCCACGTGAGCAGCTGGGATTACAGGCATGTACCACCACGCCCAGCTAATTTTTGTATTTTTAGTAGTGATGGGGTTTCACCATGTTGGTCAGGCTGATCTCGAACTCCTGGCCTTGTGATCTGCCCACCTCAGCCTCCCAAAGTGCTGGGATTACAGTCATGAGCCACCGTGCCTGGCCTCTGGGTTTTAATATTATTTTGTTGTTTGTTTGTTTGTTTTATCTTTGCATTTCAGTTTGACAAGTTCACTAATTTTTTCATTGGCTTTGTTCAGTCTAATAACGGCCCATCAATACTGTTTTCAACAGCTTATGTCCTTGTCTCTTTTACAGTGTTTTTGATTTCTAGAAGTTCTTTTTGAATTCTCTCAGACTTATCATCTCTCAATTTACATTACCCATGTTGTTGCATTTTGCCTTTCCATTAGAACCCTTAACATGTTAAATCATAGTTATTTTAAATTTCTCTCTGATAAGTCCAACATTTCTGTCATATATGCGTCTGCTTCTGATCATTGCATTTTCTCTTCAAACTATATTTTGCCTTTTGCATGCCTTGAAAACTTTTGTTAAAACCTGAGCACTGTGCATTGAGTAACGGGCAAATAAATGGAATAGACTTGTACTATAAAGTTTTACATTAACTTGGCTAAGAGTTAGGCTATATTTAATGTTTGCTATATGCAGAGAGGCTTCAATTTCCTCGTGTGTCACTGTTTTTGTTTCCCCTGTTTTTTGAGTTTTCTCTAATAACTCCCACATAAGTCTGCTTGTAGCTCTTTCTCTTGAAATCCTCTGTAATTATGCTGAGATCCTGTTAAGGTAGTGTTAAAGTGTGGGGTAGGAAAATCTCAGTCTTTACATGGACTTATGATCCTGGCTTATGACCCATATAATAGTTTTCTTACCTTTTATCATCCTTAGATGAGACAGGCAGGCTAGGCAGTGCTGGACAGAGCAAAGACAGATTCGTGCTTACAAGGACACCAGATATTTGATAGATGTAGATAAACATAAATAAAGGGTGAAGTTTTCAACAATTGTGTTGGGTGCTTTTTAGCTATTAGCTTCCTATACCTGCAGTAAGAAATAAACATAAATTTGTTCACTTGAAACAATAGAAATTTATTCTCTCTCATTCTGGAGGATGGAACGTGCTAGCAGGGCCATACTCCCTCCAAAGGAGTTACTGGAAAGGGGTCTGATCCACACCCCAAGACAGGGTTCTTGGATGTTGCACAAGAAAGAGTTCAGGATGTGTCCATAGAGTAAAGTGAAAGCAAGTTTATTAAGAAAGTAAAGGAAAAAAAGAGGGGCTACTCCATAGCCAGAGGAGTAACATGGGCTGCTTAACTGAATACACTTATAGTTATTTCTTGATTATATGCTTAGCAAGATGTGGCTTATTCATCAGTGTTCCGGGAAAAGAGAGGGGATTTACCTGAACTAAGGGTTCCTCTCTCCTTTAGACCATATAAGGTAACTTCTAGAACTCACCATGGCATTTGTAAACTGCCATGGTGCTGGTGGGAGTGTCTTTTAGCATGCCAATGTATTACAATTAGCGTATAATGAGCAGTGAAGACAGCCAGAGGTCACTTTCATCACCATCTTGGTTTTTATAGGTTTTGGCTGGCTTCTTTACCACACCCTGTTTTATCAGCAGACTTTATGACCTGTATCTTGTGCCAATCTCCTATCTCATCCTGTAACTGAGAATGCCTAACATCCTGGGAATGCAGCCCAGTTAGTCTCAGCTTTACTTTACCCAGCTCTTATTCAGGATGAATTCAGTCTGGCTCAAACACCTCTGACAAAGGGTCTATGGGAGAATACTTCTGTGCCTCTTCTAGTTTCTGATGGCTCCAGGTGTTGTCTGGGTCAGGTAGCATAACTCTAATTTCTGCCTCCGTCTTCACATAACATTCCCCTCTGTGTGTCCTCTCCCCTTCTCTTTTCTTGTAACGATGCTTGCTATTGAATTTAATCTTGATCCTTAATTACATGTGCAAATACCTTCTTTTCCAATAAAGTCATATTCACAAGTTCTAGGGATTAGGATTTGCACATATCCTTTTTTGGGAGCCAAAATTCCACACACTATAATACCAACATAGAAAACCAAATTATTTTTCATTTCACACTGTATTTCAGGTTGATTAGTTACCTAAGTGCAAAAAAGAGAGTATAAACATTGAATTATATTGTAAGATAATATATTTAAAATATCAGAATATGAAAGAATTTATTAAATAATATTCATAAGGAAAAATATATAAACACAATCTTGATAAATTTGAGTATATTATAATTAAAAGTTTTGTTTATTAAAGAATACTATGAAAAGTGAAAAAAATGTAGTCTATGTCCATAATACATAGTGAAGTATAACACATAAATAAGAAAATTATAAGCAACTAAATATAATAACATGTTAAATTTAGGAATAGATTTCTGACAGAGGAGGAATTGCAAATGCCTATAAACATATGAAATATTGTCAAATTCATTAGTAACCAGAAAAGCACACTTGAAAACTGCAACGTAGTATCACTGCACAACTATTAGATTTGCAAAATAAAAGCTCTGAAAATGCTGAGTGTGGCTTGATATGGGGCTACATAAATTTTCATGGAGTGTTAGTGTGAGTAGAAATTCATGTAATCTCTTTGGAACACCTTTTGGCATCACCTACAAATATGATTAAATACCCTTTTATTTATTTTTCCTTTTCATATCTAGTGGTAGTAAAAAAAAATTGCCATAAAGCAGAACCAGCTAAAAAGAAGAACCTACAATAGGATTTACTCACCTATTGGAAAAAAAAAATTGAAGCCTCTGTTTCTACACATTGAACTATAGAGGTGGTTCAAAACTCAAGGACATCCCACTTGGGGAATTCTATTTATACACGAACTTGGTGATCTGAATCCAGTTAAGGGATATGCAACACCTCAAAGGAGAGCAAATAAACTAAATTTTATTTAAAATATTATCTATATTAATTACTGAATTTTGTTCCTTTCTCTCCCCAAGTCCTCCATTCACTTCCATATTTATCATTAGATCAGGTTACAAAAAGGTGAAGACAATGTATATAAATTTAGCCTTCATCTCTACATTGAACAGGAAAGAAAAACTATTTTCAGTGAAAATAATATCAAATTCTCCATATTACATCAGAGTAAATATACTGTCAACACAAGGCCATTGAAAGCATGTCCAAAGTTAAAAGAATGAGTAACTACTTAAATACATGCAACCGATGTGTCAAAGGCAAAGTTCAAAACCTAGAAAAAATATATCTTATGGAATAAAAGGAAATTTGTCATAATTTTTATATCTTAGAATATATTAATAAATATTGAATTTAATATAACAAGAGTTATAGAAAATAAAAGAAGAAATTAAAGACCTAATAATGAAATAGACAAAAAGTTATTTTGAATTAATAAACAAATTAAAACAGGAGTGAACTAATTAGGCACCACTAAAAATCAAGTTATTACCAAAAAAAAAGATGACTTAGAGTAATCATAACATGCTGAATAAAGTTGTGTTAAAAGCAATCAGAAAGAGACTGAAACACGTAAAATAAAAACCCCTATAATGTATGCCTCTAAATGTGAGAATAATAAAAAATCAATTCATAACATTGAAAATATATAAAGTCAATGCTGTAATTCTATATTTTTTTCCTAGCTGCAAAAATAATTGAATCTCACGCAAGACTGATTTTATAGAAAATTTTTATTTTAAAAGTGTTCAAAAGAGTTATGTAACTTCATTAATTTATTGGACTTTCTAATTACGAAAACAATTCTTCAATCATCAGGACAGAAAGGGCATTGCTTTATTAGGAAAAAAATAAGTAAGACTGACCCCCAAATTACCTACAGCAAGGTTTAATGCCAGAAGATGGCAGAACAGTCTATAAAGTTTTCAGTGAAACCCTGAACCACGTACACTACAAGCCACAGTTTTTGACAAATAAAAAGACGACAGGTAGACATTCCAAAACACGAATGAACTGGTGGAATAAAAAAATGAGATGTTTTGTAGGTATTAATTTCAAAATCTATGCAATTATCTGATTACTAAAAATAAAAAATTGAGGAATGGGAAAGCCGTGCTAATAGGCCAGTAGTGAACACTAACTCATTTAAAAAATAGAATTAGTAATAGCCACTTGTAAGAATCATAGAGGACAGAAAACAAATGTTAAAAACAGTGCATAAATAATAACCTATATTAGTGAATAATTGAGGAAAAAGTTATAGGTCATAATTAAAGCTCTCAGATTTCATAGTTGGAGTTTCTTGATTATTTCTCAAGCTATTTACTCCATTTCAATGTTATCTATATGTTTTATATGCAGTTTATCTATTCATATCTCCATCTTTCTATTCCTCCATGCATTCTATAATGTATGTATTCTATCTATGAAGATAAATATTTCTGCAAACATTCTTAGCCAATATTAATGATGCTTATCTATGAATGGCAGGATTTGTATTTTTTATATAATTTTTTGAGTTATGTGAAAACTGCATTATTTGAGTGTGTCATTTTTTACACAAAGGGCTTTTGTTAAAATGTAAAGATTGAAGGCAAAGATATTCAAATATATTGATGATGGCTAAGCCTGTCTAGTGGAGATGGATGATTATTTTTTTCTTTGCTTTCTCCCTGAATTTATATATCTGCATGCATATATACTTGTTATGAATAATGATAATACAATGGTTTAAAAGAAAAACTGAACAGTAGTGTGTTTTCTATTCTTTCAATACTCTGTTCCTTGCAAATCTGAAGTATTTTATATTAAAATCCATACCCACTTTCCATACAAGATATATACATTTTAAGAGGAATTAGGAAATGACTTTATTCAGTGGCAGTGAGGCAGTCCAGTGAGACTGTCCTCTGAGACCTGGCATATCTGCTTGTAACCCTACATCAGATCACATAGGCAACTACTACATCTAAACATAAAGATGGGGTTTATCTCTAATGTGATACATGTGCACAATTTTCAGTAGGAAATAAAGCAATCTTCTGTGATAAGTATTTATATGTTTTTTTCCTTTACAATGGTCCCAGGAATCACTTTTGTTTTTATTTTATACCTTAAAATGGTGATATATTTATCTAACAACTATTTTCAATTCTTACAGTCACATCAAGTCAAACAATTGAATTCAAAGAAAAGAAACGCTCACAAACATCCTATTTTATTAATTAATTAAATGTTGGAGGTTTTGCTGCAAATAAGGGCACAATACAGGGTATAAAACATCAGGAATGGAATTTTTCCATGACGTCGATGAAATTCATTATGAATTAGAACTTAAGAAAGATTTAAACTATATTTTAAATAGTGAGCACTGACATTCAGAGCTATTTCATTCCTTTTTAATCCAATTCTTAACAGCCTGTAGCAGCATTTCAGAAGCACTACAGTTCCTGCCAATAACCTTTCTACGAAAAATAATTTCAGTCAGCATTATCACTCAATGTAACCAACAGAAACCAGAAATCCACTTCAAATGTCCTTCAAATAGCTAGAAGATGAATTCAAGGGGATTCAAAACATAAAACTCAGAAGATGAGGCCTGACTTTGATACTTAGTTGGTCTGATGGAGTAATTTTGTCTCCATATAGATCTCACTATAAGAAAAAGGAGGGGGAAAGGAAGCTGTAATGTGTCACCTTATCTAAATAAGGTACCTGTCATTCCTGGAATTATGTTTAAACTATGATAGATGTTCTTATTCAACAAAAGAATCCCTTTTCTCCCTAGAAAACAGATTTTAAAAGGAGAAAGTAGTGTAAATAAACTATATTTTCTTATTGTAGATGCTATGAACAATGGACACTTAAGTCGTGGTTAAAGAGAGCTCAGAATTTAGACGGTGAGATTCAAATCCTCCACAGGACCAAGCAAGGGAACGGTTTCCTTTAATGTGCCACACTGGTTTATTTCCCCCCCCATGTTGCATTACCTTTAAATTGCTCATAATATATTTTTTAAATTCATTTGATCATTTCTTTTGCTTTTATGATAGAAATTGGAGCTCTTATTTCTTTTTACAGAAAAAAAATGTATGCTAAGTTGTAAAAGTATAATCAATTATTTAATGCTCTGGTCAGAGATAGAAAGAAATGAAGCCATTCTTGTTTAACAACAAGTGAATGGTAAACAGTACGGGGAGATCATTATTTTATGTTGTTTCTTTTTATTTCTGGTAACAACATCTGGTTGAAAGTGTGAATTAATTAGAGCTCCCTTTGCTTAACCACATTTTCTTTAACAGTGATGATCAGTGGACAAGTGACTCACAATTTGCCAACCTTAATTCCTCACCTTCTTGCTTCTATAATGGTTGAAGTTTCATATATAACACAAGCCAAGTCACATAGTTACCTGCTCGAATTTTCAAAATTGGAACACAGACCAGGGGTAGGCGAGTTGGTAAGGAATGTGAGCCCACAGTTTTTGGTAGCCATGATTATATTAAAGTCTCCACTTTGCCTAAGCAAGTTTAAAACAGATTTCTGCTGCTCACAGCTAGATGCCTCAAGACTAACACAGATTTCTACTGCTTATAACTAGATGTCTCAGGTCTAACACATGTATTACTGAATGCATATCATTTTTGCAACATCATAAAGTCAAAAAATCATAAGTGATACCATTGTAACCCGGGGACTGTCTGTGTTGAAAACACAATTAACAAAAAGGCCGATATTATATATAGCTATACACTAAAAATATGGATTCCGCTGTGATTTTCATCTTAGCATTTTAATACCCTTCATGTCAGCTAAAAATTTTAATCTACGTATATCACTTAATACGGCAAAGAAAACCTATATATAAAAATGTTTCTTCCATTAAATCTCACAATTTCACCATATTGCAGATTAGTTGTGATTGCTGTTACCCTCTTTTACTTCAAACTGTGTATACAGGTAACCCCTTACCTATATACACATTACGTTCTCAGTGTCTTAAAGAGATGCAAGCATGCAATCTCAGTTCTATTTCTGCTGTAACCAGCCTGATTATATTATTCTTTCTTTCTTCTCTGATATCTTATTTTATCTCTTCTTCTTTACCTATGCTGTTTCCTCATCTCCTTTCTTCCTCTTCTTCTCCTTCTCTTCCTGTTACTCCTTCTCCTCCTTCTTCTTCTCCATTTTTTATCTCTCTCCCTCCCTCTTCTCCTTCCATTCTCCTCCCATTCCTCTTTCTATATATCCTCTTGTGTTTTTCATACACTTTCATACACTTAAATAGAGGATAATATGAGCTTCTGAAACAACAAATAACAAGCAAAAATGTAGTAGCTTTACATAATCCACCCACACATTCTGTGCTGTTCTTTCTTCTCCTATTCTCTCTCTCTCTTACACACACACATATACACATACTCATGCATTTTAGCAGAAACCTGTACTTTACATACATGAATTTAAACTACTGGCCAAAAACAAGATAAAATAAAAATATAAGAATAGAACTCAAGAACATGCATAGGAATATAGAACTGTCTACCAATCAACAGTCTAAAATTCAAAATATCTGCCATATAATAAAAATTGTCAATCATACAAAGAGGCAGAAAAATATGAACAATAATAAAAAGAAAAACAAATGAAGAGTGATGGTATATGTTTTAGATGTTTGAGAAAATATATTAACAGTGGATGAGAATAAGAGGAAATTAAGACTTACAGGAAAAAATGATTAGTGAACTTATAGATATAACCATAGAAACAATTCAAAATTAAATACAAAAGATAAAAAAAAGACTGAAAAAAAAGAACAAAGCCTGTGGGGGCCACGAACAGCTTTAAGTAACCTAATATATATACAGTTGGCTCCTTGAATGAAGGAAAGAGGTGTGCAGAAAAAAATTTTGCAGAAATAATGCTCCAAATTTTGTAATTTTGGCGAAAACTATAAAGTCACATTTCCAAGAGAAAGAACAAACTCCAAACACAAGAAATATAAAGAAAACTACACCAAGGGACATTGCAACTAATTACTTAAGCCCAGTGAAGAAAAGACAATTTTAAAAGTAGCCACAGGAAACACACACACACACACACACACACAGAAAATTTTTTCAGAGCTACATTACTGAAAAACTTTCCCTATAAAAACTGTAAAAAGAAGTTCTCCAGGTGGAAGCAATACCAGATCAAAATCAGGATCTATACAAATGAATAAAGAAAATGAGACTTAACTATTGGGGTAAATATAAAAGACATTATTTAGATTTCTTAAAGAAAATTGTTTAAAACAGAAACAATGTAGTCTGAGTTTCATAACATGTGAAAATGTAAAATGTATCAAAACTTCACCAAGTCTAGCAAGAGGAAATCAAAGTATACTCTTATAAGGCTGTTACAAAATACAAGAGTGGCATATTAGTTTAATGTATATGGTAATAAGATAAAAGCATACACAATAAGCCCTAATGATACAGGGTGGGGTAGGGGAGTGCTGGGTAGAGAAGGGCAGGGTACCTAGTGAGGGCTCCACCCTTGGGTCTGTGCCCACGGACCTAAGTGAGGACAGACATTCCTGTTTTCATGCCCAAATGTTGCATTTTCCCGGACCACTCTAGCCCACCATGCACCCCATCCTGTGCCTATAAAAATCCCAAGACCCTAGTGGGCACACACACAAATGCTGAACATCGAGAGGAACACACCGGCAGAACACAGCTACAGACGCCCACAGGCCATTGAGGGCAGAATGACACAGAATGACGTGGACCCCAACTTTGGGAGGCTGAGGCGTGCAGATCATCTGAGGTCAGGAGTTCGAGACCAGCCTGGCCAACATGGTGAAACACCATCTCTACTAAAAAAATACAAAAATTAGCCGGATATGGTGGCACACGCCTGTGATCCCAGCTACTCGGGAGGCTGAGGCAGGAGAATCGCTTCAACTTGGAAGGCAGAGGTTGCAGTGAGCCGAGATTGTGCCACTGTACTCCAGCCTGGGTGACAGAGTGACCGACTCCATCTCAAAACAAAAAAAAGACGTGGACCCTGAGAGGAATTCCACTGAGGCCAGTTGGAAGAAAGCCTGGGTGCTGAGTTGCCCAACTTTAGGGGAAGACCACTTTTCCACTCCATCCCTCTTCTGGCTCCCCAACGATCTGCTGAGAGCTACTTCCACCACTCAATAAAACCTTGCACATTCTCCAAGCCCACCTGTGATCCAGTATTTCCAGTACGCCAAGACAAGAACCCTGTGATACAGAAAGTCCTATGTCCTTCTGAAAAGGCAGAGTGTCTAATTGAGCTGATTAACACAAGCTGCCTGCAGACACAAAACTGGAAGAGCACACTGTAACACACCTGCACTGGGGCTTCCAGAGTTGTAAAAGCTCAACCCTATATACTGTGATGGTTTGGAGCCCAAAGATGCTCCCCACAACCAGCCCACCAGCATGCTCCCCCTAGGGGTTTGAGCAGCTGGGCAGGAAAGAAGCGAGCCACACCCCTGTCGCACACCCTGCAAGGGAGATAAAGGAAAACTCCTCTCGTGTCACTAACATAATCACTAAGCAAAAGAAAAAAATTAAGAGTTATAGCCAATAAGCCAATAAAGGAGATCAAATGATCAGATAATGAAAAGTACTCAAAAGAAGGCAGAAAAAGAAGAAAATGAAAACAATGATCAGGTATAAGGAAAACAAATAGCAGAATAATACATTTCCATCCAACCCTATCAATAATCTCATTAAATGTAAATGATCTAAAAATACCAATTAAAAGTCAGAGAAATGTTGATTGAATAAAAATATCCATACCTGAACAATCCAAATTGAATTTTTAATGCTTTAATTTCAGATTTCTTTCTACAAAGAAAACTCCAGGCCTGATGGCTTCTCTGGCAAATTCTTCCAAATATTAAAAAAAAAAAAAAAATGCCAATTCTACAAAAATTCCTTCAGAATTTATAGAAATAATAATATATTTTATTAACCAAATATTTCTAAAATATTTTTATCTTGACATGCAGGCCGGGCGCGGTGGCTCACACCTGTAATCCCAGCACTTTGGCAGGCAGAGGCAGGTGGATCACCTGAGGTCGGGAGTTCAAGACCACCCTGACCAACATGGAGAAACCCTGTCTCTACTAAAGATACAAAATTAGCCAGGCGCAGTGGCACATGCCTGTAACCCCAGCTACTCAGGAGGCTGAGGCAAGAGAATCATTTGAACCCAGGAGGCAGAGGTTGCAGTGAGCCGAGATCACACCATTGCACTTCAGCCTGGGCAACAGGATCAAAACTCCATCTCAAAAAAAAAAAAAAAAAAATTAAGGATTCTTTTTGTGTGTGTAGCTATAATATCGTTCAGCAGACATCTAAATAATTTCTATATATTAATTCATGTTTCTAGTAAAAGTCATTTTAAGTGAAAAACTCACAAATCCACATATTATATTTAAATAGTTACATGTTGAGAGGCAGTATAGACTAATGGCTAAGAACCCAGTGTCTCAAGCTAGATCACCTGGTTTCTAAGCCACCTTCAGAGTTTAGTAGCTGATGCCCCTTGACCTCAATTTTCTTTCTGTAAAATCAAGATCAATAATAGTACCTAATTCATAGATCACAGTGTACGTTAAACAAGTTAAATATATAAGCCACAAGACTAATATTTGTCTCATAATAAGCTTATATTAGTATACATTATTATATTTATCCATTAATACAAAGTATTTCTTCCCTGAGGACTCTTATTAACAAAAACAACAACACTAACCAGAAAGGCCCTCAGAAACTAATTTAAAAACAAAAGACAGTAATTGTTTCTTCAAATTTTCTGTATAAGTAAAAGAAAGTTGAAACACATAGTGTATTATGCATATTTTTTATATATCCTTAATTTTTTCTATTTCTCCAAACCATTTCCAAACACAATCTGCCCATACATTTTTAGATTTTTTTCATTTTCTTATTCTTTCCTAAAAAATATAAAAAAAGGTTGCATGAATAGTTTATTTCCATCTTACCCAGTACAGAAAATTCTAACAGAACAGGTCCTTGAAAGTTCAAAGAATAATTTGGCCAAATCTTGTTTGAACTTTCTGGCTCCAGGAAAGAATGACACTGTCAATCCTATAGGAGGTTTATTCAACCACTTTCTGTGCTAAACTACGACATAGCTTACATTTGTATGTGATGACATGGCTTGTATTATTTCAAAGCCCAGGCTCTGTATATTTTAAAATATATTTAAATGCTTTTTGTGCTGTCAAATAGAAGAGATGGATAGCAGTAAGAAAAATTTTTTTTCTTATCTCCTTTGTTGACATTTTAAGTGTTCTGAGTTTGGTGGATTTTAGAATATGACATTATGAGGTTCATTTAGCTATTTGAAATGGTAATTAGGAAATTGGAAGTTGTACCAAATCATGTTATTTAACTTTAATTATAATTCTCACTGTCTCAACTGATAAGTTATTAGACTAAAATATTCCTTAAAATACAAAATGGAAAATACTTATTACTCTAATCTGCTCTTCATATTCCCAACTTGTCATTTTGGGGGAGGTGGAATTATTTGTAAGAGCGTCAACTGAGTTAGGGATGTAAAAAGACTAGGAAAATTAAAACTGGGGCACATGACAGCTAAGATGAACAGGCCCAGAAAAATTTTATTTCAAATGTTACTTCTTGCAAAGTAATTGTGTAAGGAAAACATTGAATCTCAACAAAGAGATTAATTTTACACTCGGTTGTAATTCTATAAGTTGTAAACTATAAGGGCAATTGCCACCAATCAGGATAAAGATTAGAGAATAAAAGGCCCAGGCCAGGCACGGTGGCTCGTGCCTGTACTCCCAGCACTTTAGGAGGCTGGGGCAGGTGGATCTCCTGAGGTCAAGAGATCCAGACCATCCTGGCCAACACAGTGAAACCCCGTCTTTACTAAAAATAAAAAAATTAGCTGGGTGTGATGGCATGTCTGTAGTCCCAGCTACTTGGGAGGCTGAGGCAGGAGAATCGCTTGAACCCAGGAGGCGGAGGCTGCAGTGAGCTGATATTGCGCCAGTGCACTCCAGTCTTTATGACTTTAAATTATGACTTTAAAAACTCATAATTTAAAAACTTTAAAACTTTCATAACTTTACAAAGGCAGAGTTTCTGGAAAAATAGAAGATAAGAAGTTGCTATGTGAAAATTTCACTGGCCTGTCTCTTTTATCTCTCCCTCAGCACCAAAGAATAATCTACTCCATAAAATTTCAGATTATATTTAAGGAGCAATGAATGTTGGATTGGTAAATGCCATTTCATCATTAGAAAACAAATCTATTTCTTAATTGAATAAAACCAGCCATTTATTTATTTAATCTCTAGAGGAGGTATCACAAACAAAGTTTTCAAAAATCAAATTAAAAAATCAATAGTTGGTGGGATCTGGAATACTGTCTACTATTTGTTATATATGAAAAGTCAAAAATTAATACAAACCAATGAGAAAAAACAACAGGAAAACTGCTGATTAAAGGAATAAATGAAAAGAAAATTATATTTTCATATCTATACAATTTTATATAGTCATTGTAATTCTTTTAAGAGTCATGTCCCCATTTTGATTCTCTCCTCCAAAAAATTCAATTTGGCTTATGCACCCATTTGCATGAAACTTTAGGGATCTTCACGTATTAATAAACTCTAGGTTAAAAAGTTCTTGTTTTATTTAAATGAGATGAAGGTGTGTTTCTACCTTCATCAGGGATGATGAATAAGCCCAATTCTCTGAAGACAGAATGTCATGACTGTATAAAGCTAAATTCATTGCAATCTGCACTTTGTGATATTTCTGTTCATATATAATAGAGGAGTTAATGTGCCAGAACTTCTAGGACCTTTTGTAGGAGAGAAAATATTTGGATTCATAAAACCTCAGTTGCTAAGATTCCTATAATCTGCTTTAATTTAGTGAGAGTCAAGACAAAATAACCATATGATAGGTTTTTAATGGACATATTCCTTTTAGGCTGATCTGTACATTATTTTACTTTAATTCACTTGCATAAAACTATCTGGCATATCATTGTGAGGGCAATGTTATCACTAGTGTAAGGTCTACTGCCCAGAAATTTTATAAAATTTTATGGAGAACCACATGGCTCTCTTTTCTTCACATTAAAGTATGATGTGGCCGTCTGAGAATTTGTGTTAATAGATGGTAGTACATTTGCCTGGGTCTTCTATAGCAATCAGAAATTGTATTAAATCTAGTAAAAAGCAAAGTTTTAAAAATTAGTTACAATTTTAAATGCAGCCCATTTTAGGCACTTTAATATGATGTACATTTTCTCCTCTGGACTCTGGAATCCAGCCACATAATACTCTTTATTATGTGCCTTGCAGTCAAAATATAATCTGGTAAAACTGCAGCAATCACACCTGTGACACCTATAACATCGGACCAGAGCTAAACAGTATAAATTTTAGTTTATCCTTGGCACTGTCTTTTTTTCTATATCTTTTGCAGCATTTTTTCTTTCTATGTGTTTCTCTATGTGACCCATTTTTTCAAAAATCTGTTTCAGAGATATGTTTAGAAAAATAAAGCATAAAATATCTATAAAAATAACTTATGACATATTTTAATTTTTGGACAGTTTTATCAAGTTAAAATTACTTTTTGACCTATCCATTGACAACATTCAAAATGGATGCTTTGAGAAATGAGAAAAAAATATGGTTTGCAAAAATCATAACCTAGGAGAAAATAAAGAGAATAAAACATGTTCAACATATTGCATTAGGTTTGCAGAAGAAAATTTTCAAAGAAGAAAATGAGAGGAAACAATATAAAAGTATTGAAATATATAGTAATTTATAAATTTTACACCACTGTAACTGTAGCCAACTATTATGCTCACTGGCTCTGCCAATACAAAGGTTGCTTTTCAAAATGTACATTCTTATTTGTCTCATTCCAACAAAAGTGCTAGTTGTTCCAAATAGTTCTAGAAAATATAGATGTTCAGGTAACATAAAAAATGTAGGTAAAATTAGTTACTGTCTATAAACACAAATTAAAATATATCAGCAAACCGTAAAAATGATCTACACATTTTCAGTGAAATCTTCAGTATAAAAACCTCAATTAAATGCCTGAGTATTTTGAATGTGTCAAGGTATTAAACCCTGCAACTGTATGTCATAGACTGCATTGTTTATTTCAGATTTCACTATAATGAGGATAATGATGTGAAAACATTAAAGAAATGTACTTTGAAATAAAAAATATATACAGTAGCTTTATATTTACCTGTGAAAACTCATTTCTAATACCTTATTTCAGTAACGCTGTGAAATAGAAAAGGCAACAGCTCATGAGGCACATTTTCCATCATCTTGAAACACCCTTTACCCTACTAATTTATTTTCTAGCTCTGCATGCATTTTAAATAACTACTTTGCTAAAACGTGAAAGATGTTAAAAAGTAAAATGAACATATCATGCACTAAAGAAGAATGTGGAGGGAAATTGAGGTCATTTAAATTGTTGGTCATTAAATTATTGGCTTATAACTCATAATGGTGATCATGACAATGAAAAGATGGCAAGGAAACTGGCAGGCAATCTTGGACAAGGTGATTGTATAGGAATGACGTCATTTCCTTGATTGGGCAACATAAACCCTGAGGAAGCCCTTGTCATTTCTGTAAGTTATATTTTCCAATGTCAAGTCAAAACACAAACCAATCATAAATTATCATAACAAGTGGTCGGTAAGAGCAAATTAAAATAATAAGACTTTAATTGCTCAAAGATTTTTTTCTAAATTAATCCTTTTGATATCAAAGTACACAAGTTACATTTTCAGAGAATTTGAATTGCCTAAATTCAGCTGTTCAGATGAAATTTAACTTATCATCTCGATTCCAAATTATAGAGGAATTTTTACTTATTCCTTTCAAAGTCTACTATTTTTACTTCCGCCCCAGAAGACTTACATGGTTTAATATTTATCACAGTGGTGTTTGAGCTTAAGAATGCTCTATGCTGTAACTCTGGAAAATAAATAATAAAAACGATTGTAGGACACACTGCAAACAAGGATATTTTATTAACTTGGATTAAACCAGTTTCTCACTGGAGTTCAAGCCACAGTATCAAATAACTACCCCATAATATCTACCTGAATACAATAATTCCAATAAATGTCATTTTCCAGGCCACTTAAAATTGAGACACAGTATATTAAGCAGTTTTTGTAAGGTGTTAGAATAAAACTTCAATAATATCAGAAACAGAAATGTAGAGGATGCATGAGGAACTTACTGGATTTTATGACTTCATCATTATGTTATTTATTACTTCTGATAAATAGGCTTGCTTCATCTGAATGCAAAGTAATATATAACCTGGCATTTTTAAAGTTTTTTTTGTTTTTGGCACGAGAGTATCACAGGAAATTCAAAGGTAAATTTAACACTTAATCACAGTAATTATATTATTAACTAAAATTTTTGATGCATCATGTTTTGATACAGTATTTCATACTTATTTGTTTTTCATTTATATGTGTGTTATAGAATGCAATTATGAATCTCTTGGAAAATAAATGGAAGAAATTAATCCAATAGCATTGTTTACACAACTTTTTGCTGCTATAATCTGGAATAAATATTAGGCAATTGTTATCATCACTGCCTTCCACAAGTTTAGAATTCTAAACATATCATCTTTCTGTCCATTATTAAAGAATAGTTACTATATTTCATTAAATTTTCCTTTATATGTAATGTACGTTTTTGTATATGGGTAACAATTTCTTAATTTTAAATATAATATAGGTTCAAATTTCAAAGAGTTGTGATTGCTGAAATGAATCTGAAAACATTTTTAAAAATTATTTCTATGTATATCATGGATTTGGAGCCTGCTGTCCTATTTTCAGCCACTTACACTTAGCCAAGCTCTCTGTATTTATATTCTTTAATCTTTTGTAGTGAATTTGTACCTCTATTCCTTAATCATATTTAGAATCTTTTCATAATTCCCTCAAATTTGTCTGTTCCTGAATCTGCATTTGCAATCAACATCAAAATGAAGTATAACAAATTTCTTATATCACAAACCCAGGACAAGTTTTTCATTTATTGGATTGGTTTTAATCATTGCCTTTGAAAAATCTCTCCAAAATACTGTCCACTCTGGTTACTTAGGTTTCTTTCGATATTTTTACTTATCAGGTATTTCCATTTACTGCCTATCTTTGCTTCCATAAAGATGGTTTTTATTTCAGCCTTAAGACTAATCATTTTAACTGCACTTTATATATTTATACTGTTATCTACTTATTTCTTAGTTTAGTAGTATTGCGTATTTTTGCTCTGATTATTTCTCCTACTCTCTCCTTCTAAAGTGGAAGACAACTTTTAAAATCCTATACAAATTACTTTTTTAATCAGTTGAAAAATATTTTTTTCTCAGCATTATTGATATCGCATGCTATTTTTTTTCTAGGATTCTCTAAGTTACATTGCCAAGAAACATGTTTCAAACTTGTCCAGGCATGGCTGTGAGTGAAGGAATTCCTGCATGCAAGTCAAAATACTGGCTGACTTTTAGATGACTGTACTGTTTTCCTGATCTTACTGTTTAATTCGAATCAGATAAGAGAAAAATAAAGACCCTGACTATCTCCATCTCTATCATTTAGGTTTAACTGCGTAAGAAACAACTGCAAAACCAGTGGCTAAAAACAATAAAGAATTATTAGGTAATGATGTGGGTTGGAAATTTTCCTGGGATCTGCTGGACCTTGCTTTGCTGCTGTTGCCTTGACTCACTTGTGCAGCGCCACTCTGCTTGGAACTTCCCTGATAAGCTAGCAGATGGCTTGGGCATTCAGGAAACTGAGCCATGAGTATCCAAAAGCAATGAGAAAGGACATCTACCAATGAGCAATCACTGCCCAAGCCTCTTCCTGTCACATTTAGAAATCTCTTATTATATAAGCCAAAACAAGTTACATGGTCAAGATTTGAGATGGGGAGCTCAACTCCACTTCTTGCTGGGAAGAGTGGAAAAAGTCATGTTACAGAGAGCTAAATCCTAATGAATAGTAAATAATAATTTATTAAATTGTCTTTGCCTCTTTTTTTTACCTTCTCTTTATTAGTCACCATCAATTTAGAGGGTGGTAGCTTTCTTTAGTAATTCAGTATGCAAAAATTGTTTGAAATTATAGCCCTGGCAATGTTATAAATATATTTAATTCATGTTATCCCTATAGGATAATATATTTAATCATGTTATCCCTATAGGATTACCAAGTCAGAACACTGCTTTCTATTTTCATCACAAAAAGAATAAAATGCATAATAATTTTTATCATTGAAATGTTTTTATTGACACATATCAGTTTTGTGAATGGGAATTTTATGTAACTCAAAACTGCATACTAGAAAATTTCCTACGTACATTTTAAAAAGATATTGTGACTGCCTTTAAAATTATTTTAATTGATTCAATTTAGAAGACATTTATTGATTATCTGCTCTGTTCAAGCAATTGTTCAGGCCATGGGGATGAATATGGGAGGAACATACCTGTGTATGTGGAGGTTGTTTTTTGGTAGGAGATTCAATCAGTAACAAATATTGAAAGAAACAGCATCAGGTTCTTTCTAATTATCATGCTATCACAATTAGAAAGCTTACAAAGTGTCATTAGCCCTTACAATATGTCTGATTTTTTTAGCCCCAAACACAACCGTGTAAAGTCAATTAAGTTATTAGATAAGTGATTTATGATACGAACCCCTTCCATCCACAGGAAACATGTTGAAGTGAATTGAAAAAAGAAACTACTGTTTATATGCTAAATGTTCAAAAATGTATGTTTAGTAATCCATCTCAGTGATTTAATAACTGGTTTATATTTGGAAATGATTGATCTAGTATCTTTATGTTATAATTGTACATGAGGCATACCTTCGTGCATAATTGAACAACAATAAAGCAAAGAGTTTTATTTCTTTTATCTTTCTAAAATTCAAAATTTGGCAATATGTGAATGAGAAGATTCAACAAATATATGCCTATCTTTTGTTGAATATATACACTTTTCATATATATCATGTTGAATATAATATATATGATAGATTTATGATAAATTAAAGGTAATAATACCTTCCGTGTTGAAAACTGTGATTTTTTTATTGACCCCATTTGTAACTGATGTAGGAAAAGTTGTCCATATATTATTTTCCTCTGAATGTTCATATATAATTACTTTTTGATTTAAGGTGAACATGAAATAACAGCTAACTTTATGAAACTGGTTGCTCTAAATTAATTTACTTTATTTTTAAGAAAAAGTCAAATGTAGCATAAAATACATATATAAATATGTGTTAGAGAAATAGTAAGCAGAGTACGTAAAGGATAGAATATACTTAGCATGAGTGCAATTCTCTTGCTATTTTTTATAAGCACATGTGTGGGGAAAAGAAAGAGAGATCAGATTGTTACTGTGTCTGTGTAGAAAGAAGTAGACATAGGAGACTCCATTTTCCTCTGTACTAAGAAAAATTCTTCTGCCTTGAGATGCTGTTAATCTGTAACCTTACCCCCAACCCTGCGCTCCCTGAAACATGTGCTGTGTCAACTCTGGGTTAAATGGATTAAGGGCTGTGCAAGATGTGCTTTGTTAAACAAATGCTTGAAGGCAGCATGCTCGTTAAGAGTCACCACCACTCCCTAGTCTCAAACCACTCCCTAATCTCAAGTACCCAGAGACACAAAACACTGCGGAAGCCCGCAGGGACCTCTGCCTAGGAAAGCCAGGTATTGTCCAAGGTTTCTCCCCATGTGATAGTCTGAAATATGGCCTCATGGGAAGGGAAAGACCTGACCGTCCCCCAGCCCGACACCCGTAAAGGGTCTGTGCTGAGGAGGATTAGTAAAGGAGGAAGGAACGCCTTTTTGCAGTTGAGACAAGAGGAAGGCATCTGTCTCCTGCTCGTCCCTGGGCAATGGAATGTCTCGGTGTAAAACCCGATTGTATATTCCATCTACTGAGACAGGGGAAAACCGCCTTAGGGCTAGAGGTGGGACATGTGGGCAGCAATACTGCTGTTTAAGGCATTGAGATGTTTATGTTATACATATCTAAAGCACAGCACTTAATTCTTTACCTTGTTTATGATGCAGAGACCTTTGTTCACGTGTTTACCTGCTGACCTTCTCTCCACTATTATCCTATGACCTTGCCACATGCCCCTCTCTGAGAAACACCCAATAATGATCAATAAATACTAAGGGAACTCAGAGGCCGGCAGGATCCTCCGTATGCTGAACGCCGGTCCCCCGGGCCCCCTTTTTTCTTTCTCTATACTTTGTCTCTGTGTCTCTTTCTTTTGCAAGTCTCTCGTTCCACCTAAGGAGAAAAACCCACAGGTGTGGAGGTGCAACCCACCCCTTCACACATGCCATCTTTCTTAGAGACCAAACACAAATGAAGCTAGAATTTGTGTTCTTAACTCTTTGAATATGCTAGTTTTATCTCCTTTTTCCCTTCTTACAAAACATGTGCAACTACTATGAAAAGAAATGATTATCTAGATCAAGAAAGGTAGCTCATGGTCTTTTCAGAAGCCAATGGATATAATTTTTAACTCCTTACATTAGAGTTTATGTTAAAGTAGATAATTTTTCTTAATATTTTATACAAGATGAAAATTCTATATCTCAGAGGGAACATAATTTTCTAAACTTATGGATGTAACTAAAAAGAAAATAATAAAATACCATTATACAAGAAATAAAAATTGGAAATTATTCAAATAAACAAAAATAGCGATAGCTTTCAATATGCCAATATGTGGGAGTTTTCAGATTAATAATTTCTTATTGTAATGGAACATTTCAGGCGAGCCTAGGTTATCATTATCTCTGTTGTCAACGTTTTTTTTTCCTGCAAGTGCATGTCATTTTCCTTGACAATACAAATAAAATTCTAACATGAATATCTAGAATTCACATGCTTTGAAATAAATTATGGTGTGATTTGTAATAACTTTTAATCATAATATAAATTTTCCCTGGGTTTTAAGTTATAACTCAAAATTTATTTCAAAAGTTCTGTAATCAGACATGATTAAAACAGCTGTTTAGAATTTCATGTACTTTTAACTTTCACAGTTGTGATATTATTCCTATATGTCTGGTTAATTGAGATCATTGACAATTATGATATAAGAAAATCCAGAGCAGGGAAAAAAGAGCAATATTTTATGTCTTGGAAGGTACTGTCAAATATTTAAATTATAAACTGAATGTGCACTTAAGGCAAGGTGTGGGGTAAGAACATGGGATGGGGAAGCGTTGCACAGAAGCAGATAGTCTAGAGAAAATCAAACATCTAAATTTGTTCACCTGAAATAATAATGTGGTTTTGATTTTTTTTTTTTTTTAGACAGAGTCTCATTCTGTCGCCCAGGCTGGAGTGCAGTGGTGTGATCTCGGCTCACTGCAACCTCTGCCTCCTGAGTTCAAGTGATTCTCCTGCCTCAGCCTCCCAAGTAACTGGGATTAAAGGTGCCTGCCACTCCCGGCTAATTTTGTGTATTTTTAGTAGAGGCAGGGGTTTCACCATATTGGCCAGGCTGATCTCGAATGCCTGACCTCGTAATCCACCCACCTCGGCCTCCCAAAGTGCTGGGATTACAGGCATGAGCCACTGTGCCTGGGCTTGAAATTTGTTTTAAATGTAGTTTTTTTCTTAGAGAAGTGACTATGTGGAATGCTTTTATCATACGTTTTAAATCTAATTTAAACAAACATATAAGAAAAAAACTAAAGATAAATAGTGAAAGCATTATTAGACCTAGGCTGTGACAATTTTAATTATCTAGAGAAAAGTGAAATTGTCTCTTTGACTTGTTACAACAAATACACAGCAGGTTTCTCCAAAGGTGTTTAAAATATACAGAGACAAAATAACCTACACACTATAGACAATGATGACAACTATTGAAATAATGTTTTGAAAGATCTTTCATATTCTTTTATTGCCTGAAGTTTAAATTCTCTACCATTTAATATCAAATCAAGAAACTGATTTTAAAAATGTGTTTCTAACTTTACCTCTTGGCCGTATTTACCTCACCTTTTCAAAGACCTCTTGGTAGGAATCCAAGGAGTGGGATATGCTATACAATTATTCATTTAACATGTTTTCCAGTTTTATGCTGGTCTGAGTTCCAAAAAAAACCTATTTCCAATATTATGTAATGCAAGTTCTTTCTCCAAAATAGTTGGTCATGACAATACAAATAAAGAGTATAAATAGTGTTATAGTTATCTATGGGTATACACTTGGGGTTGGTTCAAAGATCCCCCACACATACCCAAATCTGCTAACATATACTCATCCCCCATATATACCTAAGTCTGCACATACTCAAATTCTGCATCAGCCTTAGGAGCCTGCATGGAGGAAAGGTGGCCCTCTGTACATGCAGGTTTGCATTCCGAAAATACTATATTTTTGGATGGCTTTTGGCTAAAAAACCACAGCTTTGTAAGAGGACCGGCACAGTTCAAACCACTATTGTTCATGGGTCAACTGTGTCTGGTTAATTGAGACCAATGACATTTGCCCTATGATATGAAACAATTTTGTACTACTATGGGTGTAAAATGTTTATGTTAAAATTATATTGTGACTTTAGTGTTACTTTTATCTCTCTAATTTAGTGAATATATGATTCTAATATCTTTACGAAAAATCGAACAAAGAATGCCCATTTTCATGCTTTTTTAAACTCTTTTCCTAATCTAAATGTTTTGAACAATATGTTTATAGTTCAGAATGCCAACAGGATAACTGGAATAATTGCATAACGTCCTTAGTCACTGGACAAGTTGTAAATTTTTTTGTGAAATGTCTCGATAATGTGCTTCTAAAAATATGTATAATTATACATTCTAAGTATGTAAAGGCAACCTGTAGATACACCTTGTATATTAAAATGGACCCATGTATTTAAAAGAGAACTATATATCAATAGTAAACCATGAAACAAAAGAAGTTTCCCATTATTCTTGGAATACGAAAAACCCCAACTTCCTAAAGCCACAATAGTGGAAGTATAACTCTTGTAACAAAAGTGTATAATAGGATTAAGTTTGATGTGACATATACTTTACAAGGGATTCAAAATGATGTTTACCAAGAAGTCTTTATATCCTTCAGTACTCCCATCCCTCTATGTTACTCATTAAAAATTTATTTCATATGACCAGAAGCAATTTTAAATAACCTCACAAGACTAAGGTTGTGAGGTTCAGTGGCATGATTTTAATTGCTTTAATTCAGAGATAAGTCCTATTTCCTAGGAGTGTACTTGTTTCTATTACTTGATAAAAATGATAAATCTCTTCTATTAATTTGTATCATTGCAAGCAGCTATTTTATCAGTAATGTATCAACATATTATATGCTGTGCAACACAATCCTGGAGGCAAAACAGAGTGAAAACATTTATTTAGCAAATTTTGTTCTTGCTCTGACTTTCACAGCAATATGTGACTTAAATAATCTTGTTCATCATCAAAACCCTTTGGCAAAACAGTAACTAAATCTCAATACCTTCAGAAACAAGATTTTCAATTCATCATATTTAAAGAAAATAAGAATGAAATCAGAGAAATATATTTAAAATATGGAACTCTTGGCAGTAAAAGAAAATGCTTAGGAACCTAAGTTTCTGATATTGTTAAAGCTACATGTGAAATAATAAGACATTGGAAAAAAATCCAAGATAATTTTTGGAATCTTGTCTACAGAATAAAAATAGAAGTTCAAAAAATGGTAATAATATAAATAAACCTAGAAAATTTCAAGAAGAAAAGTGGTAGGCACTTGGTCTAAAAAGAAAAAAGCAGTAGAATATGGGAAAACTGTGATGGGAAGATATTCTATTTTCTAAAGTCTTTGGTGACATCCTAAAACTTTCCAAGATAATGGCCATACCTCAAATGCCTAAAGGGCCAGAGAAAAGACATGAATGAATGAATCCATCCAGATATAAGAGAGAAACATGGTATTTGTCTCTTGGCCTCAGAATCAACACAATAGATAGTTGTGGGAAGAAACTGGAAAAATAACTTCTTTTCTCAAGGGAGGCAGTTGTTACATTGCAAAAACATGCACCCGTTGTAGTCATGTTTTCTGATTTGCCAATGGAATTTTGAAATATGGATTTTCATGTTGAATATTTTGATTTTCAATGTGAGTAAAGTTTACTGTGTATATCAATATGAAACATACCTTAAGATGGACAGTTCTTAACTTTTGGTTTACACACTAAAAGTGGTCTGGGGAAGGATTACATGGGTTACTATGAGATTTCCAAGAATTTATTCTGATAAATTTTGTATAATATACTATCTGAAAGTTACTCAACTCTTTGGCTATGAGAAAATGTTTTGGTTCAATTCAAGTAGAAATGTTGGCTCCTTTAGATTTTCCAAAATAAGTTTAGTTAGTGACTTTGTGTGTGTATGTGTGTGTCTAGAGAAGAGAGAGAGATCAGTATTGAAATGATACATATTTCTCTTGTAAGTGTTTATCTGATGAATTATGGTGATATACATAAGATTCTAGTTCTTTTTTGTCTCAAAGATAGGGAATAATAGATATGAAATTGCAATTCCTGGGAAATGTCACTAAGCAATACAGTAATACCTGTTCTCATAAAACGGCAAAATTGCATTTAAAACAAATGACTGAAGACAAGTTGATGATGCTATCTTTTTCTGTTTTGGGATTAATATTCTAGAACACTTATTCTATTTGAAAATAACAAAATTAAATTTCCTAAGAAAAAGTCCACTGTGTTCTTTATAATGTATTAAACTTACATAATTGGAATTCCACTGTAAGTCATTATTCAGAGGTTTGTCCTATGCCAAGTCAATATTTGAATGAAGACATTTGCACAAAGGGTTGGGTCACGTGTTACATGGTATTCACTAAAATTAAAGCTCCACCAAAGCAGAGATCCTATTTCCTGAGAGAATTATAGGATCCTGTTGTAATGAAACCTCAATGATACCTCTTAATAGAATTAAAATAATACTAACTAGTGAGATTGCAGTACTATATTTAGCAGGAATTAAAATATAGCTTTTAATGTCTGTGCTACTCACACGAGAGGATAGAAAGCTCTTGCCAACAGGACAGAGTATATGTTTTATTCATGTTTCATTGTAGTAGTGTCTACCCAGCATAGAGTGTCCACCAGGTTGTGTGTGTTCAGATATGTGCAAGAGGAACAAAGACATGAACCTGAGTGAAAAATTGAGTCAGCAGAATACAGCATAACCCAATGCTAACTGGATGTGTGCATATTGATAGAAAATAAAACTGCATTGGAATGTATTTTCTCAAGATTATTTATGAATTGTCTTGAGTTACACAAAATTTTTAAATATTTAAATTCAATAATAATGAATATTAATCATATGCTAATTACTGTGCAAGACAGTTTGGTAGAGAATACAAAATCGAAAGACAGGAAAAATAATTGCTATTTCTGACTCCACCAGCTTTTTGGCTGTAGACGTCCTAACAGTTAAATTATGTAAACTGAACTTAATCAGATACAGAATGTGAGTTCTAAGCTCTCTCTCAGAAAAGTGTATGGTTGATTTTGAAATAGAAATTTTGTCTTTGTAATCTTATAAAGGTGTTTAGACATATGTACTAATCATTATTACACAAAATAAAATTTATGATTTTAAGTTTTAATTCTCAAAATAAATATTTTAAACAATAAAAGGCTTTTGGCATACAGAACTTCTTATCTATTATGACTCAGAAATTGCTGGAGTAAGGAATTAACTTAATCTTTAAAGCTTATTAGATTTCAGTGAGAGCATATGTGAGGAAAGGCATTATACAAACAAGAAACAATGTGAGAATGAGTACAGGGAAGATAACATTACTTGGCATATTTGCAAGTCTATAAAAAGGAATTCAAAGTCCTAAGCATTAAACATATTAAATTGTCTCCCATTAAACATACATGAAAGAAAATAATAACCTTAAAATAAGTCTAAACATGTCCAAAAAGTTTTGATAATAAACCTGATGCTTGTCAAATGTAAATTATCAGCTGCTATGATGATGCCCTAAATATATGCTTAACGTTTGACTATTTGATACTCCAGAACTGCATATTTGTGGTGCACTAATCACAGAATTGAAACTGCTGGATGAGTTTTGTAAGTATACACTGTGGATTTTTTATAAATAAGACTCTAGTTATTACTGCAAGTAAAGGGACCAGGAGCCTCAGGGAAAGAAACAGATTTACAGAATTGGAAATGGATGTCCAAAGCATGCATTACATCAGAAGCATTCCACTACCAGAGCTATTGATTTATTTTTTCAAACTTCTAGTAGATGAAAAGTATCTCTGTCCCTGGATTCATCAATTTCACATTTGAGTGTGAAAATGCACAACTTGAACTAGAGGAAAAACTGGAAGAAATATGTTTACCACCAAAGTATGACCTTAATGATGGCAAATACATTATAAATTACTAAAATAGAAACTCTAATCATGACTGAAGCTAATCAATTCATTTTTTCTTACTGGGATGCTAATGTTTTGTTAAATGTGACCTTACTAATTTAGCTGTACTTGATTATAATACTGCTACAGTTAGCTTAGACTCATACAGGCTACTCTCCAGTTCATTCAAACTTCTTTCTCCCTTAAACAACAACAATGGTTCATGTAGCTCTGGGTATTCTACAAGTCCATGAGTGATGCCTTACTTGAAAGACATTCCTTATGATTTGAATTAGAAACAGGATGCACTCGTAAGAAAGCCTTCATTCCTTACATCCATGGAGTAACTGCAATCATTTGTTGATAGCTTCAATGAACATTTTTAAAACTTTATTTTTAATTGACAATAATTATACATTTATGGGACATAATGTGATGTTTTGATCTATGTATACACTGTGAAAAGACACTGTGAAAAGACAGGCTTATTAACATATTAGTCAATTCATGAATTTACCTTTTTTGTGATGAAAACAGTAAAAATGTATTATTTTAGCAATTTTGAAATATACAATATTTATTCACAATCACCAAGATAAGAAGGCAAACTAAGTGTCCATCAATGAATGAATGGATAAAGAAAATGTCATACATATGCATAATGGGATACTATCAGCCTTAAAAAAGGATAAAATTCTGTCATTTGTGACATGAATGGTATTAGAGGACATTATGCTAAATGAAATAAGCCAGGTAAAGAAAGACAAATACTGTATGATCTCACTTGCATGAGGAATCTAAAAAAGTTGATCTCATAGAAACCGTGGAAAGGTGATTACGGTTACACATAGCCTTGACGAAATTTTTCTTTAGGAAATATTATTTTAATCAACACCTGATGGATGAATAAAAACTAACTTGATGAAAATTCAGAGGAGATAAACATTCTAAACACAGGAAAGGGCATATGCAAAGACATTGTGGTAGAGAAGGAGCACGATCACTCCAAGAACTGACTACAAACAAAAAAACATCTGTTTGGCAACAGTATGGAGAGAAAACGGCAGAAAAAGAGAGAAATTGACAAGGCTGGAAGATTCAATGCAATTGCACAAGTATAGAGAGTACCATTTACTACAGTGAACATGATCATGTGATTGTTGCACTCTGGATATGGTACATGCAATCTCCTGCATAGCTGCAATTCAGGAGATGTATATCTTCCTGAGATTTTTCCATATTGTTGTTTTGTTTTGTTTGCTCCCCATCACCAACAAACACATTCCAGAAAATTGGATTTGCAAACATGAGAAAAATTTTCAGGATATCAAGAAGTTATTGATTTTATCACTTGTCATTGCTTCTGGACACGGAGGGTTTGTCCTCGGCTATAGGAATTGTGTTTAACTCAAAATGCCGCTTTTCCTTAAGGACTAATGCTTACTTACAGAACAGGACTGCCAAGCAGTGACAGGCATTTTTTTCAGCATGAGTCAAAAATTTCACAAAAAAAACTATGACTATATATATTTATTTTTATGGTGGACAAAATTCTAAGATTAGGTCTAGATATTTCCCAACTGTGTTCTTATCCCCATAATCTTTAGCTCCAGGCAAAACCTTGGCAATTCAGTGCTGAATGCTCCAGCTTTACATCATCCAAAAGGTTAGAATTCACCCTGTATAATAGTTTAAATATAAACTTCACATAACATACAGTGAATTTTTTTCTGGAAGATATCAAAACCTCTGTTAAGTTTCTATGTTGATTCAGAAGTATCATTCCCAAGAAAGCTACCATTATTTCCAATTATATTTTTTTCAAATTCCTTTCATTTCCAGCTCCAACATCTGTGTTATAGTAGGAGTTGTGTAGAAATTACCTAATTTTTTTATATCACCATTATCTAGCTCTGGTATTGATACAGAGTACTACATAATTCAAATAAAACTTGTTGAGTAGATGAATACATGAAAGAATGAATAATACTATTATTATTATTATTTGAATAGATATTATGACCATGGCATTATGCTAGGTTTTGATTATGTAAATGTGACTCCCCTGATCTCTTCCTTTGAGATGCTTACAGTTTATTGGTAGGGACAGAAACATTAGCAAGCATTTTCAGTACAATTTGATGAATATTATAAACCACTCGATATGGGTTCCTGGATATACTTAGTTCCACCTAGAAGAGGGACAAGCAGACTAATAATAAATAAATACAAGGAAACAAAAACGGTGACTAGAATGAATCTTGAAAGAGAAGTGGAATTTGGAAGGACAAAATACAGAAAACATGATCTAAGTAAAGAAAAAAGCAGGAACAAAGGCAGGTCAGTAATATATATTAATGGAGAGAGCAAACAATTTACTCATATGCGAGCTTAAGGAAGGAGGACATACTGTCAGAGGAATATAAAGTTATGTTTTATCCAACTCTAATGTTTTTAATAAGGGGCAGCTTTCGTTTCAGTTGAGTTTAAGGAAATTATAAAAATGTAAGAGTATAGGTGAAAGTAATTTTTGATCATTTATGACCCCAACATGAAAAAATAATGTCTATTAACATTTTGAAATATTTTCAGTTTTTTGTGAGGAAGATGTTCACTTTACAAGGATATCCCTGGGTGTACCTATAAATGTATATATAGAGATAGTTTACCCGTATTGAATTATACTATATATAATGATACTATGTATAATTCAGTATCTTTTTTTTTTTTTTTTTTTTTTTGAGATGGAGTCTTGCTGTGCCCCCCAGGCTGGAGTACAGTGGCATGATCTTGGCCCACTGCAAGCTCCGTCTGCCGGGTTCACGCCATTATCCTGCCTCAGCCTCCCTAGTAGCTGGGTCTACAGGCGCCCGCCACCACACCCGGCTAATTTTTTGTATTTTTAGTAGAGACGGGGTTTCACCGTGTTAGGCAGGATGGTCTCTATCTCCTGACCTTGTGATCCACCTGCCTCGGCCTCCCGAAGTGCTGGGATTACAGGCGTGAGCCACCGCGTCCAGCCAATTCAGTATCTTTCTTACTTTCCAAAATGATTCTAATTTCATTTCATTAAAATTATTCAAAATACAGTTTTAATACCATGACCTTCTATTATATAAAATGTTGTTATTTACTTAATTTAACTCATATTTAACCAATAAAATATATGTATTTTAAAAGTTACAAAATACGGCAGTAACCATTTTCCTTAGAAGTTTGTGAGAAGTCAACAATAAAACTTTCTGTCTTCCTGACCTCCAATCTTCTTTGAGGCCTTTGATAGGAAGCAAGGCATAAAGTGAATGTCACAGAGCTGTTGTCATAATGACCAAGACGGGAGGTAAGGAGGGGTTGTACTCCCATATTGTACAGTAGCTGGCATCATTTATTTCAGAAAACACTGGGAATTCTCCAAGGCCAGAAAGTGAATAAAACAAAAATGATTATTTGATTTCTGCATCTGCTAAAGTGGACTCACCTGGTATTTTTAAGCCTTCTCGTATGATTTGGAGACTTAATCTTTAAAATGTGTATCCTTACTTGTGAAAGATTATGCTAAGTAATTAGCAAAGAATGCTATGTGCATCAGAGTGCAGAGTTTAATATTAATTTTGTTTTGTTTTTTTTGATCCTCCTGAGTTCTTATAGCTATTGGCTGAAATCTTTTAGAAGTCGTATAATAAAAAGAAGGATTGTCTTCAGAAACCATGCTTATTCCCTGATCCGATGACCTATCATATTTTATTTTACTAAAGGCTGAAACAAGTACAAGGCAAAACACTATCATATTTTATTTTACTAAAGGCTCAAACAAGTACAAGGCAAAACACTAATATACTAAATATTTGTTTTTGCTAGTTTTTTAAGTTAAGAATGGAAAATTATTTTTATTCTGTAAACACAATTTGACCGCAAAAAGCTTAGTTTATTTATTTATTTTTTTTCACAGTCTCACTCTGTCTCCCAGGCTGAAATGCAGTGGCATGATCTCTCGTCTCACTTCACTGCAACTTCTGCATCCCAGATTCAAGCAATTTTCCTGCCTCGGCCCCCCAAGTAGCTGGGACTACGGGCACACCCCACCACACTTGACTAATCTTTTTTTTTTAATTTTTTTTTGTAGAAACAGGTTCTCACTATGCTGCCCAGTCTTGTCTCAAACTGCTGAGCTCAAGTGATCTGCTTGGCTCAGCTTCCCAAAGTGCTGGATTACAGGTGTGAGCCACCGCACTTGGCTTTAGTTTAAAATTAAACTCAGTTAAGCAAAACCTGTTTAGAGAAGGAATCTGTTAAGTCCTATACACCCTCCCTATCATTTTATCTGTTATCATTTGCTGCATTAAAAATCACTGCCAAAACTTAGCAGCTTAGAAAACCAGCCATTCATTACATTCATCACTACCAGCTTATGATGTTGTGGGTCAACTGGACAGTTATGTTATGGTCCAAGCTCAGCTTGTTTCAAATAGAATTGCTCATGAATATGTTTTCAACTGTGAATCAGTTTGCTGATTTTGGCTGGGCTCTCCCATCTCTAAGGCTTGGCTGAGACAAAATGCTTACTCTGCTTTCCTCCATAAAAACATCTCAACCTGCAACAAACTAACCTTGACTTGATGTTTAAATGGAGCTGAGAAAGGTCTCAAGAGAACAGGCTATTCACAAACTCAGCCGGACTTCCAGAGAGAGAAAAATAAACTCCATTTCTTGATGGGTGGAGCTGCGTGTACCACCGCAAAGTGCAAGAATACAGAGGGCATGTTTGCTATCTGCCCGTAGCACTGAATCATATTTATATTTTACCTAAAATCCCTGATAATTCTTAAAGACAATGATGATTTTAATATTCTCTTTTATCCAATTATCATGAGCAATGCCCTGAGTATAGAAGGACAATATAATAAATTGCACAGTTAATATTGTTTCCCTTTTGGAAAAAAAGAGTAGGAATCATTTAGACTAATTTTTCATAACCAGCAGCACATTTCTTCTACTTCTTTTGTACAATGCACTAGAAAAGATCACAAATATGACTAATACATTGTTTTACATCTCAGTGTAGGGTCAGTCTTAAAGACATTTTCCATAACGAAGATATACAACCACCATATTGCCAAGAGTCTATTGTTTTATGCATTAAGCTTGGTTAGTTCTACCAATAGCAATCACCTTTACAATGCGTCAGAAAAAATCTTTTTAATACTTTAAGTTCTGAGATACAGGTGCAGAATGTGCAGGTTTGTTACATAGTTATACACGTGCCATGGTGGTTCGCTGCACCCATCAACCCGTCATCTACATTAGATATTTCTCCTAATGTTATCCCTCCCCTAGCCCTCGACTCCCCAACAGGCCCTAGTGTGTGATGCTCCCCTCCCTGTGTCCATGTGTTCTCACTGTTCAACTCCCACTTATGAGTGAGAACATGTGGTGTTTGGTTTTCTGTTCCTGCGTTAGTTTGCTGAGAATGACGATTTCCAGCTTCATCCATGTCCCTGCCAAGGACATGAAATCATCCTTTTTATGGCTGCATAGTATTCCATGGTATATAGGTGCCACATATTATTTATCCAGTTTATAATTGATGGGCATTTGGGTTGGTTTCAAGTCTTTGCTATTGTGAACAGTGCTGCAATAACTATACGTGTGCATGGGTCTTTATAGTAGAATGATTTATAATCCTTTGGGTATATACCCAATAATAAGATTGCTGGGTCAAATGGTATTTCTATTTCTAGATACGTGAGGAATCGCCATACTATCTTTCACAATGGTTGAACTAATCTACACTCCCACCAACAGCGTAAAAGCATTCCTATTTCTCCACATCCTCTCCAGCATCTGTTGTTTTCTGAGTTTTTAATGATCACCATTATAACTGACATAAGATGCTATCTCATTGTGGTTTTGATTTGCATTTCCCTAATGACCAGTGATGATGAGCTTTTTTTCATATGTTTGTTGGCTCCATAAATGTCTTCTTTTGAGAAGTGTCTACTCATATACCTTGCCCACTTTTTGATGGAGTTGTTTGTTTTTTCCTTGTAAATTTGTTTAAGTTCCTTGTAGATTCTGGATATTAGCCCTTTGTCAGATGGATAGATTGTAAAAGTTTTCTCCCATTCTGTAGGTTGCCTGATCACTCTGATGATAGTTTCTTCTGCTGTGCAGAAGCTCTTTGGTTTAACGAGATCTGATTTGTCAATTTTGGCTTTTGTTGCCATTGCTTTTGGAGTTTTAGTCATGAAGTCTTTGCCCATGCCTATGTCCTGAATAGTATTGCCTAGGTTTTCTTCTAGAGGTTTTATGGCTTCAGGTCTTACATGTAAGTCTTTAATCAATCTTGAGTTAATTTTTGCCTAAAGTGTAAGGAAGGGGTTCTGTTTCAGTTTTCCGCATATGGCTAGCCAGTTTTCCCATCACCATTTATTAAATAGGGAATCCTTTCCCCATTGCTTGTTTTTGTCAGGTTTGTCAAAGATCAAATGGTTGTAGATGCGTAGCATTATTTCCGAGGCTTCTGTTCTGTTCCATTGGTCTGTATATCTGTCTTGGTACAGTGCCATGTTTTTTGGTTACTGTAACCTTTTAGTATAGTTTGAAGTCAAGTAGCATGATGCCTCCAGCTTTGTTCTTTTTGCTTAGGATTGTCTTGGCTATACAGTCTCTTTTTTGGTTCCATATGAAATTTAAAGGATTTTTTTCTAATTCTGTGAAGAAAGTCAATGGTAGCTTGATGGGGATAGCACTGAATCTATAAATTACCTTGGGCAGTATGGCCATTTTCATGATATTGATTCTTCCTATCCAAGAGAATGGAATGTTTTTTCATTTGTTTGTGTCCTCTCTTATTTCCTTGAGCAGTGGCTTGTAGTTCTCCTAGAAGAGGTCCTTCACATCCCTTCTAAGTTGGATTCCTAGGTATTTTATTCCCTTTGTGGTAATGGTGAATGGGAGTTCACTCATGATTTGACTCTCTGTTTGTCTATTATTGGTGTATAGGAAAGCTTGTAATTTCTGCACATTGATTTTGTATCCTGAGACTTTGCTGAAGTTGCTTATCAGCTTAAGGAGATTTTGGGCTGAGACAATGGGATTTTCTAAGTATACACTCATGTCATCTGCAAACAGAGACAGTTTGACTTCCTCTCTTCCTATTTAAAAACGCTTTATTTCTTTCTCTTGCCTGATTGCCCTGGCCAGAACTTCCAATACTATGTTGAATAGGAGTGGTGAGAGAGGGCATCCTTGTCTTGTGTCGGTTTTCAAAGGGAACGCTTCCAGCTTTTGTCCATTCAGTATGATATTGGCTGTGGGTTTGTCATAAATGGCTCTTATTATTTTGGGATACATTCCATCAATACCTAGTTTCTTGAGAGTTTTTACCATGAAGTGGTGCTAAATTTTGTCGAAGGGCTTTTCTGCATGTATTGAGATAATCATGTGGTTTTTGTCATTGGTTCTGTTTATGTGATGGATTATGTTTATTGTTTTGTGTATGTTGAATCAGCCTTGCATTGCAGGGATGAAGCCAACTTGATCATGGTGGATAAGCTTTTTGATGTGCTGCTGGATTCAGTTTGCCAGTATTTTATTGAGGATTTTCACATCGATGTTCATTGGAGATATTGGCCTGAAATTTTCTTTTTTTGTTGTGTCTCTGCCAGGTTTTGCTATCAGGATAATGCCGGCCTCATAAAATGCGTTAGGTAGGAGTCCCTCTTTTCATATTTTTTGGAATAGTTTCAGAAGAAATGGTACCAGCTCCTCTGTACCTCTGGTAGAATTCAGCTGTGAATCCATCTGGTCCTGGGCTTTTTTTGGTTGCTAGGCTATTAATTACTGCCTGAAATTCAGAATTTGTTATTGGTCTATTCAGGGATTCGACTTCTTCCTGGTTTAGTCTTGGGAGGGTATATGTGTCCAGGAATTTATCCATTTCTTCTAGATTTTCCAGTTTATTTGCATAGAGGTGTTTATAGTATTCTCTGATGGTAGTTTATATTTCTGAGGAATCAGTGGTGATATCCCCTTTATCATTTTTTATTGTGTCTATCTGATTCTTCCGTCTTTTCTTCTTTATTAGTCTGGCTAGCAATCTGTTTTGTTAATCTTTTAAAAAAACCCAGCTCCTGGATTCATTGATTTTTTGAAGCAATTTTTGTGCCTCTGTCTCCTTCAGTTGTGCTCCGATCTTAGTTATTTCTTGTCTTCTGCTAGCTTTTGAATTTGTTTGCTCATTTCTCTAGTTCTTCTAATTGTGATGTTACTTTGGGCTGTATGGCCATTTTCATCTTAGATCATTTAGATCTTTCCCACTTTCTCCTGTGGACATTTAGTGCTTTAAATTTCCCTCTAAACACTGCTTTAGCTGTGTCCCAGAGATTCTGGTACATTGTGTCTTTGTTCTCATTGGTTTCAAGGAACTTATTTATTCCTGCCTTAATTTCATTATTTACCCAGTAGTCATTCAGGAGTAGGTTGTTCAGTTTCCATGTAGTTGTGCAGTTTTGAAGGAATTTCTTAATCCTGAGTTTTAATTTGATTGCAATTTGGTCTGAGAGAATGTTTGTTATGATTTCTGTTATTTTGCATTTGCCGAGGAGTGTTTTACTTCCAGTTATGTGGTCAATTTTAGAATAAGTGTGATGTGGTGCTGAGAAGAATCTATATTCTGTTGATTTGGGGTGGAGAGTTCTGCAGATGTCTATTAGGTCCACTTGGTCCAAAGCTGAGTTTGAGTCCTGAATATCCTTGTTAATTTCCTGTTTTGTTGATCTGTCTAATATTGACAGTGAGGGGTTAAAGTCTCCCACTATTATTGTGTGGTAGTCTAAGTCTCTTTGTAGGTCTCTAAGAATTTGCTTGATGAATATGGGTGCTCCTGTATTGGATGCATATATATATTTAGGATAGTTAGCTCTTCTTGTTGAATTGATCCCTTTACCATTATGTAACAGCCTTCTTTGTCTCTTTTGATCTTTATTGGTTTAAAGTCTGTTTTATCAGAGACTAGGATTTCAACCCCTGCTTTTTTTTTGCTCTCATTTGCTTGGTAAATATTCCTCCATTCCTTTATTTTCAGCCTGTTTGTCTTTGCATGTGAGATGGGTCTCCTGAATACAGCACACCAATGGGTCTTGACTCTTTATCCAATTTGCAATCTGTGTGTTTTAATTGGGGCATTTAGCCCATTTACATTTAAGGTTAATATTGTTATATGTGAATTTGATCCTGTCATCATGCTGTTAGCTCGTTGTTTTGCACATTAGTTGAAGGAATTTCTTCATAGTATCATTGGCCCTTATATTTTGGTGTGCTTTTGCAGTGGCTGATATCAGTTTTTCCTATCTATATTTAATGCTGCCTTCAGGAGCTCTTGGAAGGCAGACCTGATGGTAACAAAATCCCTCAGTGTTTGCTTGTCTGGAAAGGATTTTATTTCTCCTTCTCTTATGAAGCTTAGTTTGGCTGGATATGAAATTCTGGGTTGAAAATTATTTTCTTTAGGAATGGTGAAAATTGGCTCCCACTCTCTTCTGGCTTATAGGGTTTCTTCAGAGAGATCTACTTTTAGTCTAATGGGCTTCTCATGGTAGGTAACCTGACATTTCTTTCTGGCTGCCCTTAACATTTTTTTCCTTTGTTTCCACCTTGGAGTATCTGATGATTATGTGTATTGGGGTTGTTCTTCTTAAGGAGTATCTTGGTGTTCTCTGTACTTCCTGAATTTGAATGTTGGCCTGTCTTGTTAGGTTGGGGAAGTTCTCCTGGATAATATCTTGAAGTGTGTTTTCCAACTTGGTTCCATTCTCCACATCACTTTCAGGTACACCAATCAATCGTAGGTTTGGTCTTTTCACATAGTTCCATATTTCTTGCAGGTTTTGTTCATTCCTTTTCATTCTTTTTTCTCTAATCTTGTCTTCATACCTTATTTCAGTAAGTTGATCTTCAATCTCTGATATCCTTTCTTCTGCTTAGTCTATTCAGCTTTTGATACTTGTGTATGCTTCAAAAAGTTCTCATACTGTGTTTTTCAGCTCCATCAGGTCATTTATGTTCTTCTCTAAACTGGTTATCTAGTTAGCAATTCCTCTAACCTTTTTTTCAAGGTTCTTAGCTTCCTAGCATTGGGTTAGAACATGCTCCTTTAGCTCAGAGGAGTTCATTATTACCCACCTTCTGAAGCCTACTTCTGTCAATTCATCAAACTCATTCTCCATCCAGTTTTGTTCCCTTGCTGGTGAGGAGTTGTGATACTTTGGAGGAGAAGCGGTATTTTGGATTTTGGAATTTTCAACCTTTTTGCACTGGTTTTTCCTCATCTTTGTGGATTTACATACCTTTGGTCTTTGATATTGGTGACCTTTGGATGGGGTTTCTGTATGGACGTCCTTTTTGTTGATGTTGATGCTATTCTTTTCTATTTGTTAGTTTTCCTTCTAACAGTCAGGCCCCTCTGCTGCAGGTCTGCTGGAGTTTGCTGGAGGTCCACTCCAGACCCCTTTTGCCTGGGTACCACCAGCGGAGGCTGCAGAACAGCAAAGATTGCTTTCTGTTCCTTCCTCTGGAAGCTTTGTCCCAGAGGGGCACCCACCAGATGCTGGCCAGAGCTCTCCTGTATGAGGTGTCTGTCGACCCCTGCTGGGAGGTGTCTCCCCTCAGGAGGCACGGGGGTCAGGAACCCATTTGAGGAGGCAGTTTGTCCCTTAGCAGAGCTAGAGCACTGTGCTGGGAGATCTGCTGCTCTCTTCAGAGCTGGCAGGAAGTAGCATTTAAGTCTGCTGAAGCAGCAGACACAGCTGCCCCTTCCCCCGGGTGCTCTGTGTCAGGGAGATGGGAGTTTTCTCTTTAAGCCCCTGACTGGGGCCGCTGCCTTTCTTTCAGAGATGCCCTGCCCAGAGAGGAGGAATCTAGAGAGGGAGTCTGGCTACAATGGCTTTGCAGAGCTGTGGTGGGCTCCGCCCAGTTTGAACTTCCTGGAGGCTTTGTTTACACTGTGAAGGGAAAACAGCTTACTCAAGCCTCAGTAATGGTGGATGCCCCTCCCCCCACCAAGCTCCAGCATCCGAGATCCACTTCAGCCTGCTGTGCTGGCAGCGAGAATTTCAAGCCAGTGGATCGTATCTTGCTGGGCTTTGTGGGGCTGGGATCCACTGAGCGAGACCACTTGGCTCCCTGGCTTCAGCCGCCTTTCCAGGGGAGTGAACAGTTCTGTCTCACTGGGGTTCCAGGTGCCACTGGGGTATGAAAAAAAAAACTCCTGCAGCTGGCTTGGTGTCTGCCCAAACAGCCACCCAGTTTTGTGCTTAAAACCCAGGGCCCTGTTGGTGTAGGCACCCGAGGGAATCCCCTGGTCTGAGGGCTGAGAAGACCTTGGGAAAAGCACAGTATCTGGGCTGGAGTGCACCGTACCTCATGGCACAGTCCCTCAAGGCTTCCTTTGGCTAGGGGAGGGAGTTCCCTGACCCCCTGTGCTTCCCAGTAGAGGTGACATACCACTCTGCTTCGGCTCACCCTCCATGGGCTGCACCCACTGTCTAACCAGTCCCAATGAGATAAGTCATGTACCTCAGTTGGAAATGCAGAAATCACCTGCCCTCTGCATTGATCTTGCTGAAAGCTGCAGACGAAGATGTTACTATTTGGCCATCTTGCAAGCCACCCCATCCAGAAGATACTTTTAAATGGCTTCCATTTTTCCTCTTTTCTAATACTTGCCCATTTGCTTGTGATAAATGTAAACTACTTGCTTCTCTGTAATATTGTTTTTTTATCCCTCTGTTTTTTATTTGATTCTATCATTCCTTTTATTTCTTTGATTAATTTTATTTATATTTACTTACTTCATTGTATTAAGCCATCACTAATTACTTTACAAATAAAAAGTGAAACACTTTCAAGAAGAAAAAGCAAAAGATATATGTTTGGTAATTAAACTATACACATTAAAACAGATGACATAAACCTCTACAGCTCTTGCAAATATCCATGTATAGAAGCTCCAGGGCGTATCCATCTAACTTCCCATTTTTCTATGATGAAGCTTGCTTTCACTCAGGCAAAAAATCACAGCCAATTAACATTTATACTTTAATTTCTCTTAAATGCATTTAAGTATTTTAGTGTATTGTTCCATATTACTTAGGGATTAAATATGAATTTTGAAAAACTGAGATGAACTAGTATTTATAACACTGTTTCTGAATGATTCATGTATTAACGGCTCCAGTCATGACACAGTATTTACAGGTGACCATATAATCTACAATTGAGTTTTTAATTTGGGAGTTACCATAGCAAATACATTTTTCATTCTAAATAGTATTAAATTTTTCTTGGTATTACAATCTAGTGCATTCAAAGGTTAAATAATCATTGGCAAGGGACTTTGGACAAATGAGATGGTGAAAATCTTTTTCTCTGACATTTAGCAATGACAAGCAAAACTCAGTTTCAATAATCATGATTCATTTAATACCATATTTAGAAGACTGGTACTTAGTGGTTTGTCAACTGGCATTTGCAAACAGACCAATTTTCCCTCTTTTTTAATGGTACAACTTGAAGTAATCAAATTTAATTAAGATAAAACAATGAGAATACAAAATAAAAAAATAACTTACTGATAATTGAGGAAAATATATCTTTCCATGGAATAATTTGGACATTTTTCCACTAAAGTTTTTAATACATATAACCAGTTGAACTTATTGCTAAAAATTTTATTGCTACAACATATGTGGTATCTAATTATTATAGAAATTCTTAATTATAGAAATCCTTGATAATTTTTACACAAAATATTATAGTAGTTTACTTGGTACAATACTTAATTTAATTTTGTTGTTGGTACTCTGTTGAATAGAACAAGATGAAAGAATAATAGTAAAAATATAAGTACTAGTTCTGATTACAACATCAAATAACTATGTGCTTTTAGATAATATTTTAGAAAAATTCTTATCACATAATAATACTGTATCACAGTCTCATGCAAATGATATGTGGTTAAATTCTCTGCGTTCATCATTGTCAATTAGTTCTCATGTTTTCTGTGACTTTGTACTGCCTTTAATTTTGGCCAATTGCCTCATATATGTGCCATTGGCAATTATAGGGACAAAACAAGAAATGGGTTTAAGGAAATCAATCAGCACTTTAGGAGAAATAGAAAGGGAAAAACATAAAAGGATTGCACATTAATGAGTTGTTATGTATAGTCTCTATATATTTTTCTCTTTCTATACATGACTTGTATTACTTTCACAATGATAAATCTTACTGTTATATCATTCCTGAATGGAATTAAATCCCTCTGCTCCCTGAATAAATTTTTGGACTTCTTTGATCTGATGATAACTTTGACAACTGAAGAAAGTATTACCCTGATCGTTATGATTTCTTAGTCATAAAAATCTTTCTAAAACATTTCTACAAAATAGCCAGAATACCATATCTATTTTCTAATATTACTTCCCAGTTTTTCACAGTTGTCTCACAGAGTGAGAACTTCTCACTCTGGCAAAGACTGATGGGGTCATTCACTACATGTAAAGGATTTGAAATTCTCTGAAAGAAAGTGGGATTTTTTTTTTTTTTGGTATTCAACTGCAGACTTGAATTTTGAAACAGAAAAAAAAAATAGTCTATTTATTTATCATTGCCAGTTGATAAGAAAACCAGATCCCCAAAATATAGTTTTCAATCTGATAGCCACTGAACATAACAAATGCAGTAAAATCACTCACTATGGAAAGAATTTTATCCATAAAATTGTATACCTAGAGGATGTGTAATGACATTAAGACTGGGATCCAGTTAGAGCAATATAAGGCTGCCTACTGATTGATTAACTTTTGATTTGTAATAATATTTGGAATTTCTCATATTTTATGATTAAATTATATTGAATCTCCTTTCTTAGGATTTCAGGGAGAGCCAAGCATGGAGAAATGAAAACAGAAGTTCTGATCTATGATCTTGTTTTATTTAGAATGTTTCCTTATGTATTTAACTCAAGTTAGTTCAAACACATTCAATTCAGTAAACATTAATTGAGGGATTATGACTTTCTAGGCACTGATTTGGGGATTCAAAGCTAAAAAATTATTTCATCACTACTCTTAAAAAATCTCCCACTACTTCAGCATTGCCAACAAGGTAAGATAAAGACTTATAGTCACATTTGGGCTGGGCGCGGTGGCTCACGCCTGTAATCCCACCACTTTGGGAGACCAAGGCAAGTGAATCACTTGAGACCAGGAGTTCAAGACCAGCCTGGCCAATGTGATGAAACCCCATTTCTACTAACAATACAAAAAAATTAGCCAGGCTTGGTGGCACAAGCCTGTAATCCCAGCTACTTGGGAGGCTGAGGCAGGAGAATCACTTGAACCTCGGAGGGAGAGGTTGCAGTGAGCCGAGATTGCACCACTGTGCTCCAGCCTGGGCAACAAAGCGAGACATTGTCTCAACAACAACAACAGAAAGAACTGTAGTCACATTTGAATTAAGTGGTTATATCACAGGAAGTATATTTCAGATCAAGAAAATAGCATAAACAAAGGCACAGAGGTGTGAAGTTCCATGGCATGCTGAGAGAATAGTAAATAATCAGGGAGGCTGAATTGTTTCAGAAAATTAACAGAAGAAATATAATCCTAAATATGTGTTGTTTTCCTACCCTTGTTCTAGAGTAAGAAAGGTTAAAAAAATCTTTTAAATTAGTGGGTTAGATTTGTCATCAATATGATTGTTGAAGTGCCCATACTGTACAAAGTAATTTGAGGAAACTGGAAGCCAGGCACTAAAATAGGCAGTGAATATGGATTAATAAAACACAGAAATGCAAAAAGAATGTCAAAACCATATTTAACAGTTTCCACGGAGGAAAGACTGAACAGAGAAGTAATGAAGTGGAACCAGAAGTAAGCCACTTCTGGCAAGGAGTGTGTGAGATTTAAAGGACAGTGTCTTAGTTCTTTTGGCCAGGTTTCTAGGAATCAAGGCAAGAAGGTAAAGGAATCATTCTCTGCTTATGTAATTCACTGTGAGTACTAAAAATGCAATGGAGTGAGTTTAGAATGGAGATTAGCAAAAGTGGGAAAAAGTTCTGTGAGGAGTGATGGCTCCCTAAAATTAAATAAGAGAATCCAAAGCACAGCTAAAAGTGAGATTGCTCTTTTTGTGGGAGATTAAGAATCCTGGGGTAGTGGAGTAGAGAAGTGAGAGGCAAACAGAAAAGTGAGAGGAAATTGAGAGACAGCAGTGCATAGAAGACAGTAGTCTCAAATAATATTTTGGTTATTATTTCTCTTGAAGAAATGTGTTAACATTAGATGCCACTCAATTTGTCAGCCCTGGGTGAGTAATCTGAGCAAGATTATGGAAAGTGTACACTATTAGATTTTAGTAGAGAAATGATAGCTTCTGTAAATGACATAATAATCTAGGCAGGACAAACCCAAGGTAATTTAGAAATTGTACATATCTAAACTCATTCAATTAAAGGGGTATTAATATTTTTAAGGGCTGGCACTGAGCATCGGTCATGCACTGACAAGATGTTACAGTGTGAAACCAACTGACTAAACTGCTTATGAAGGGGTTACATCTCAAAATAAAATAACGTATCATGTAATTCATGAATGGAAGTTTAATGGGATGACACTCATTTACTATTATATATAGTTTTGTGATTTTTATGAACATGTGACTTTTATGGTATAAGCATAGCTTCTGAAATTGTTTTATTTTTTAAGTTTTGCTTCCCAGACTAGGCAACTTATTAGATGTTATTCTTTGACTAAAGTTTTTAGTCACTGAAAAATAGCAATACTAAGTAACTAAGTTATTTTTTTATGAGAATTTAAATATCTAGTTAAGAATTACCTCAACCTTTTAAGCTGTTACAATAAATAACTAAAAACCTATAATCCCAGATAACTTTTCTGCACTTTATAGTCAGAATGAACTGTTGGCATGGAGCAAGGGTATAATCCCAAAGGGATTTTTTAAATCATCTTGTGTTTTTCATTCTCCTTTAGTGTGAATAATAAAGTGCACTTTAGTTAGCTGGTTAGTCATCTTTGGGATGCATCTAAGAATGAGGAACATGATAGCACCAAATACGTTTCTCTCTCTCATAGAGGTAGGGTCCCATTGTGTTATACAGGCTGGTGTCTAACTGGTGGGCTCAAGTGATCCTCCTGTATCATGCCTCAACCTCCCAAAGTGCTGGGATTAGAGTGAACCACTGTTCATGGCCCCAAATAAATTTCTTGCAGAGATATATATGAGGTTATATGTATATACATGCTCATGCTGGTGTTTCTGTTTTTATTCACATTAGCAAAAAAAAAAAAAAAAAAAAGAATCAATGGGGCTGACATTTTAATTTGTTTCAGCTGTGATAACCAGCAATTATCCATTGCATTTTAATATTCCCAATATAGATTAAATGGTTTTGAATTAACTAGTAAACATTCAATTCAGTTATGTTCCACAAGCAGTTAATTACAGATAAGCTTAAAAAACGAATATTATAAGAAAGGGACTGAATATCTTTGTTTGCTTACACATCATCAGCTGTTTCCTTTCTTTCTTTCTTCCTTCCCTTTTTCTTCTTTTATTTCTTGCTTTCTTTCTTTTCAGTGTAATAATCAGTAATAAAACGAGTAGTAAAGCATTAAAATAATAGTTTTTGCAGAAATCAATTATGGTTTCAGATCCACTGAAAGTAGTAGAGAAAGTATCTGAGTTTGATTTTGTGTGTGTGTGTGTGTGTGTGTGTGTGTGTGTGTGTGTGTGTGGCCAGGCTGCCTGGGTTGAGTTAAAGGAACTTCAGTTTGTTTAGTTTGTTTTATAAAAATTATGCTTGCTCCTGGTAGAGTTAGAAATAAAATTTACTTAAGATATGGAAAGCTGTATTTCCAGAGACTAGAATAAAAGCTCTCCTAATACCCTGAATATTGAAAATACACACATTCATTCATATTAGAAGATTTCTACTACTAGTGTACTAATAAGCAACTGTGATATTGAGTTTACCATAGCATTGTAAAGGTCATGTGTGTACAATAAGTATGTAAGCCTCAAATTGCTATTATATCCCCAGCAAGCTAAGCAGCCAGATATAACTTCTGTTCATATTTTCTAATCCTTGTTTTGCCTATCAAAATTTACTTTTGCGTTAACATTCTGGGATTTGGGGGAAAGGGAAAATGATACAAATAATGGTTCAAAAGCATTTCAGTTATTTGACAGAGAAGCCTAAATCTCCAAAATATATTTAGAAAGAGAAAAAAATTCTTTCAGGACAATTTGTGATTTTATTAGGAAAAAATGCCACTTTTATGTCAATGCTTTTACCTTTTTTATAATAGTAATAAACATTTAAGCAACATGTTTAAATATCTTATAGTGTCCTATTGGTAGATTTTTGCATATGTTACGTAACTAACAGCACACCTAAGATGCATGAATGACATAAGGAAAGAACAAAGCAATAGTTCCACTGCCTGGTCAAAAGCACAGAACAGGAGTGATCTAGAAGAGAAGTGGGGAAAAGACTGGTAACCTAAAATGAGGGAGAAAATATTGCTCATTGTTTTCTTCATTGCTTCCTCCTTCTCTTCCTTCTTGTCTTTCTTTCCTCCCATGAAATGGTTAGATACATGTCTCTGGTGGCAGAAGAAGGGGGGATGAGTTGAGTACATTAGATTAAGGTGAATTGACAAATAGCCAAGGAAGCCAGAGATGACCAATGAGGAGGACAGATGCTAGACAGGCAGAAAGCAAAGCACCATAAGGAATGTTGGTACCAGCACCACAAATAATACGGGGAGGCAGTTGACACTCACATGAGTCTCCCAGTTCTTTTCAATAGCTCCCATATACCCTCAACCTCTTTCCTATCACAGCTTTTTGCTGGAACTAAAATTTGACTATCTCCTGAGACACTACATCCCTAGCACAGCCTTTTTCATTAGAAGCTGCTGATTCTCAAACACTCTTGATATGCCAAGATTGGGTAGTAAGTTGATGGGTTTCCTGCGCACTAATCGATGTAACTTCCGTTTCAAAATTCTATCTATCTCACTTCTTAAAATGAAGCAAAAAATTATTTTCCTTTTAGCCTTGTGCAATTTGACCCCATTACCTCTCCCACTTCCTGTTCCTGTTCATCACCAACCTAGTGATATTCCCCATTACTTATTAATAACTTTAGCAAATGCATTTCATTCTTCCACTCCACTGAAACTTCTGTATCATTCACGTTGCCCCTACCATCTACATGTTTGATCCATCCTTCACCATGACTGATCAGTTGCTTGGACTTTTTATTTTCACCAATTTTTAAACTATTCTATAGCCAGACCTAGAATTTCTCACTAGTAGAAACTGCATCATCTGTGAAATCATAATTTTCAAACATCCACCTGACCATCACTGGCTTCCTTCAGGCTCACTGGCTCGATGAGTTTCATCGATGAAATTCTTTTTTCTCATTGAGGTCCTTGACCCCACCATTTTTATACCACTCATCAATTCCTTCTTCGATTAACTTTCCTCTTAGATCAGCCTTGATTCTATGGTATAGGACACCCACACTTTGCAATTTCTTTTGACTCCTTCAACTCTCTCTCCTTCCATTTTACTGACACTGAATGAAAATTTGTATGCAGTTCAATTCTCACATAAAAACTGTTGAAATTTTCTGGAGACAATCATAAAACTAACATATATAATTTAATTTGTTAAAGTCAGGTATGTTGAGCTACAATTAACATATTTCCCTCCTGCTCTTTTCAACTTATCATTTTCCCCCACCTCAAAGTTCTTAGCAAGTGCCTGAAATATTGAATATACTAAGGGACAATAGTCAAACCATATATAAAAATACCATATATAAAAATAGAACTCTGACCCACAATCTGTAGCAAACAGTCCAGAAAGGTAAACCACAAACTCTGCAGCAATTGGCCCAAAACAGACAGAACTCAATTAATAACAAACATTTTTCTCTAATTCCCATCTCCACTGTAAAGATAGGAGCAGACAGAGCCAAATATGCTCCCTTAACCAATCATATAGGATACCCACTTCTAGTTACCCCATCTCCAATTTCTACATGCCCCAAACCTCCAATCAGGGATTACCTGAAGGCTTCCCTGTGTTCCCCTGTCTGCCTTTGAGTCTCTGCCAAAATCAAGTGATGATGGCTGACTCTCTTGCTGTGGTGAAATCTGAATAAATGGGCTCTTACATTTTCCGTTGGGTCATCTCCATTTATTTCAAGTGTTTTCCTGGAGGTCCGATGGAGACAGCATGGTAGCAGAGCCCAGCCTTCAATCAGGTGCATACTCTCCAAGGCCCCTTGTGTCTTTCTGCTGGAGTCTGCACTGATATTGTAACTCAGCACTGCGTCTGAACTCTGCTTTCTTTGTATTGATATACTTGACTATTTTTTAAGTTTAGAACCTGGGTTTTGTTATTGGCTGCCATTTGTTTGGCATCTTTGGTAGAATCAGGCTACTCCTTTATACCTCATTTGCTGTCTTTTGTGTTATCGTTTTGTGTTGGGGTATCCAATCATGTGTTTGTCATAATAGGGAATATTATAGGGTAGAAAGTACGTATCAGCCCATTGTTCAAGCTAGCTTGACAGATGGTTACATTTGGACTGGCATTCACTTGACAAACTTTTGTATGAGTCATCAATGAAACTGGATGAGGTTCTCCTTCATCCACAATTTGTGTCCTGAGAGCTGAGTTTTCATCGGCAGAGAGGTTTCTACCTGCTGGTGGGGTGTAAAAATTGTTGGGTTGGGGGCCTGAGACACAAAGTGCATAAGCCTTACATTCCTATTGACCTTTGCCAGCTCTCATGGGGTTGTATACATCTAAATCTTTTCCTCTTCCAGAAAAAAACAAACAAACAAACAAAAAAAAAAACCCTGCTCTTACTTGGACATTCATTACAATCCTAAATTTTGTGCTTCTCTTTCTAAATGGCATAATTCTACCAAGGATGATTTGGGCCTACACTAGCAACTCCGGGGAACACTTGATTTGAACAAAATTGCTCATTCCAGAGAATCTTTAGAAAAGAAAGAAAATAATTTGCCAGGCCCAATGGGCAGCATTTTCTGCAGTATGTATGCAGAGGCCTCCAAATAAAATTCTGAATCAAAGATAGCTTCTGCTAAATTTTTTCTAGTCTCCACACTTGACCTCATGGTTTCTCATGCAGTGGAAATATTGCTAGTGACTGAGAACGCACAACGCTTTTCGGCCAGCTGATCACCCTTTTACAGGATGCAGTTACTCTCTCTCTTTAACGTTTGTATTCATCAACACAACACCCTGAATCCTGCCCCTCTCCTGCCCCTACCAGAAGGAGAGGACCATTATGGTTGTCTTACCTCAGTTATAAAACTTTCTGTACCTCACTCAGATTTATTAGAGATGCCCATTAAGAACTCCGACAATATTATCTGCCACTGGATCATAGCTCAAAGTGGACTTTATCAATCAATTATAGAGTTGAAACTAATCTAGTCTTTCCTTTAAAAGTCCTCTACCTGAAATAGAATTCATATACGATAGCTTTTATTTGTAGCCCTTTTCTCTTAACATAAAATGCTTAAAATTTATTTAAAGTTTTGGAGGTATCAGGAGTCCTTTTATTCTTATTACTAAGTAGTATTCCATTGTATGGATATGAAACAATTTGTTTATCCATTTATCAATCAATGAATATTGGTTATTTTCATTTTGAGATAATTATGAAAACTTATTTTCCCACAAACTCTTGTACACGAATGTTCATAATAACCTTATTTATAATAGCTGAAAACTGGAAACAACCCAAATTTCCTTCAAGTTGATACATCTTTACGATATAATACTACTCAGCAACAAAAGAAATTCTCAATACAATTGTTAATGCCATAATTTGGATGACTCTCAAAGAGGAGAGTAAGGGACAGGGCAATCTTAAGGAGTTACGTAAGGTAGAATTCCACAATCCCTAAATTGTTGGGGATGGAGGGATGGAGAAAATATTTGTTGTTGCTGGGAATCAGGGTTGGGGGAAGAGTGGGTGATTATTAAGAAATAATATGACAGAGTTTCCCTGTGATGCTAGAATGGTTCTACATTCCAATTGTATTGATGGTTACTTAGATCCGTACATGTGATAAGAATTTTCTGAAACTAAACGCATGCACACACACACACACACACACAAAGTACAGGTGTACACTGGTGAAATCTGAATTAAGCCTATGTCTTACTCTTTTTGCGCTGCTATAACAAAATATCAACACTGGATAATTTGTAAACAATAGAAATTAATTTATTATATTTGTGGAGGTTGGAAAGTCCAAGATCGAGATGCCAGCAGGTTTATTGTTTCATGGGGCTACTGTCTACCTCCAAGAAGACATCTTGCCTCCAGAGGGGAAGAACACTTTCCTCACATGGTGAAACGGACAGAAGAAACAAAAAGGGGGTGAACTTCCTCTGCTAAGCCCTTTTATAAGGGCATCAGATGCCATTAATGAAAATGAAGCCCTTATGACTTAATCAGCTCCTAAAAACTACACATCTTAATACTGTTCCATAGGGGATTAACTTTCAACATGAATTTTGGACCGGACACCCTCATTCAAACAATAGCAGTCTGCATTTGATAGTATTGTACCACTGTCAATTTCCCGGGTTTAATATTGGGTTATGATTTCATATAATATTATCATGGGAAGCTGGGTAAAGAGTAGATTGTATCTCTGTACTATCTCTGCAACTACATATGACTATTAAAATATTTCAAAATCAAGCATCATTTTAAAATAATAACTTTATCATTTAAATATTTATTATTTTCAATTTGAAATGTAAATACTGTAAGCTATATTATTTATAATATATAGCTGCTTAGGAAGGATTTTCTTCCCAGCTGTGGGGAGTTTCGTCGTCAGACAGCCTCCACCTGTCAATTGCTTCAGAATGTGAATCAGCTGCAGAGAGCTGCCTTATTCGAAAACACACTCTTTCCGTGAAGGCCACTCCCAGTGGCTGAGAGAAGTGGAAATATGAAGGAGTCACCATTTGCACCATTTGTGGGACAACTCTAACAAAGAATACACACTTCAGATAAACTCACTCAGTTGAATGAGGTTTTGTGGGACTGCATTAGGGTGTGACTTCTCCTTCCCAGGCTTAATGGCTCCTCTTTTTGTTCACATCTTACAACCCAAACATCATCTGTCTGCTCCTAAAGTACTCAATCTGTAACAGTATTTTTGTGTCATTTTAAAAACTTACCTCCCCGTAACTCACCAATAAAGTTATATACAGTTTTGGTTATTTCAATAGGTATTGCTTATACAATATTGAATATAGAAATGTACACATAAGCTATATAGAATGATAAAATTACATCTGCATTTGCTTGATCTTTTTATGTATTGTTATTGAATAAGTCAGGGTCCTCCAGAGAAAAAGAACTGGTAGAACCATATGTATATATATATATATATATATTTGAAAACATAGAATATATTACTCTTTAGTATTCTTATGATAGTATATGATTATAGTATTATAGTATATATTATACTATATTATTCTTATAATATTATTTTCATGTGCGTCCCTGTGAAGAGACCACCAAACAGGCTTTGTGTGAGCAACATGGCTGTTTATTTCACCTGGGTGCAGGCGGGCTGAGTCCGAAAAGAGAGTCAGCGAAGGGAGATAAGGGTGGGGCTGTTTTATAGGATTTGGGTAGATAAAGGAAAATTACAGTCAAAGGGGGCTTCTTCTCTGGCGGGCAGAGTGGGGGGGTCACAAGGTGCTCAGTAGGGGAGCTTTTGAGCCAGAATGAGCCAGGAGAAGGAATTTCACAAGACAATGTCATCAGTTAAGGCAGGAACAGGCCATTTTCATTTCTTTTGTGGTGGAATGTCATCAGTTAAGGTAGGAACCGGCCATCAGGATGTGTATGTGCAGGTCACAGGCGATATGATGGCTTAGCTTGGGCTCAGAGGCCTGACATTCCTGTCTTCTTGTATTAATAGGAAAAATAAAACGAAATAGTGGTAAAGTGTTGGGACGGCAAAAATTTTTGGGGGGTAGTATGGAGAGATAATGGGCGATGTTTCTCAGGGCTGCTTCGGGTGAGATTAGGGGTGGCGTGGGAACTTACAGTAGGAGAGATTAAGCCGAAGGAAGATTTTTTGGTAAGGGGTGATATTGTGGGGTTGTTAGAAGAAACATTTGTCTTGTAGAATTATTGGTGATGGCCTGGATACAGTTTTGTATGAATTGAAAAACTAAACAGAATAAGAGAAGGAGAAAAACAGGCATTAAAGGACTAAGAATTGGGAGGACCTAGGACATCTAATTAGAGAGTGCCCAAGGAGATTCAGCATAGCCTTGCCAGTAAAGATTATTTATTTACTTTAAGAGTTGAGAGTGGTGGTTTGGGGATAGCACCAGGAGATATCAGCTGTGATGACTTGGAGAAACAGTGTAAACTGGCAGTGTAAACAAGAGCAGGGCACGTATGAGTAGTTGAGAACGATGAATAGGAGTATGACTAGACAGAAGATAGTAGGGATGACAAGTTTTTTGGGGCACAGTCTAAATTGGTCTGGTGTGTGGAATGAGACTGGGGCCTAATAAAAAGGAGCATCTATACAGGAGCTTAAATGGGCTGTACCTTGTAGCATTCCGAGGACAGGCCTGAATTCTGAGAAGTGAAAGTGGTAAAAGTATTGTCTAGTCTTTTTTAAGTTGGTGGCTGAGCTTGGTGAGGTGTGTTTTTAATAGACTATTGGTCTGTTCTACTTTTCCTGAAGACTGAGGACTGTAAGGGATATAAAGGTTTCACTGAATACTAAGAGCCTGAAAAAATGCTTGGCTGATTTGACTAATAAAGGCTGATCTGTTATCAGACTGTATAGGGGTGGAAAGGCTCAACTGAGGAATTATGTCTGACAGAAGGGAAGAAATGGCTGCGGTGGCATTCTCAGACCCTGTAGGAAAGGCCTCTACTTATCTAGTGAAAGTGTCTACCTGGACTAAGAGGTATTTTAGTTATCTGACTCGGGGCATGTTGAGTAAAGCTAATTTGCCAGTCCTGGGTGGGGGCAAATCCTCAAGCCTGATGTGTAGGGAAGGGAGGGGGCCTGAATAATCCTTGATAAGTAGTAGAATAGCAGATGGAACACTGAGAAGTTATTTCCTTGAGGATAGATTTCTACCATGGAAAGGAAATGAGAGGTTTTAAGAGGCAGGCTAGTGGCTTGTACTATACATAGCCTGCCTTTGCTGGTGTGTGGCGATTAGGCCTGGTGGAACTGCCATCAATAAATCAAGTGTGACCAGGGTGAGGAACAGGAAAGAAGGAAATATGGGGAAATGGGGTGAATGTCAGGTGGATCAGAGAGATAGAGTCATGGAGGTCAGGTGTGGTATCAGGAATAATGTGGGAGGCCGGATTGAAGTCCGGGCCAGGAACAGTGGTAATTGTGGGACTTAACAAAGAGTGAGTACAGCTGAAGGAGCCGGGGAGCAGAAAGTATATGTGTCAGGTATGAGGAAGAAAATAGATTTTGGAAGTTATGAGAAATGTAGAGAGCGAGTTGAGCATAGTTTGTGATTTTGAGGGCCTTTAAAAGTATTAGGGTGGCAGCAGCCACTCCACGGAGACATGACGGCTAGGCTAAAACAGTAAGCTCAAGTTGTTTGGACAGAAAGGCTACAGGGTGCGGTACTGGCTCTTGTGTAAGAATTCTGACCACACTAACCATGCCTAGGAAGGAAAGGAGTTATTTTGTAAGGGATTGAGGTTTCGGGAGATTAATCGGACACGATCAGTAGGGAGAGCACGTGTGTTTTTATGAGAATTATGCCGAGATAGGTAACAGATGAGGATGAAATTTGGGCTTGACTGAAGTAATGGGGGCTGTCTGTGAAGCCTTGCGGCAGTACAGCCCAGGTAATTTGCTGAGCCTAATGGGTGTCAGGGTCAGTCTAAGCGAAAGCAAAGAGAGGCTGGGGTGAAGGGTGCAAAGGAATAGTAAAGACAGCATGTTTGAGATCCAGAACAGAATAATGGATTGTGGAGGGAGGTATTGAGGATAGGAGAGTATATGGGTTTGGCACCACGGGGTGGATAGGCAAAACAATTTGGTTGATAAGGCGCAGATCCTGAACTAACCTGTAAGGCTTGTCTGGTTTTAGGACAGCTAAAATGGGGGAATTGTAAGGAGAGTTTATAGGCTTTAAAAGGCCATGCTGTAACAGGCAAGTGATAACAGGCTTTAATCTTTTCAAAGCATGCTGTGGGATGGGATATTGGCATTGAGCGGGGTAAGAGTGATTAGGTTTTAATGGGATGGTAAGGGGTGCATGATCGGTCACCAAGGAAGGAGTAGAGGTGTCTTATACTTGTGGGTTAAGGTCGGGGGATACAAAGGGAGGATGTGAAGGAGGCTTTGAACTGGGGGAAAAGGTGGCAATGAGGTGTTGCTGTAGTCCAGGAATAGTCAGGGAAGCAGATAATTTAGTTAAAGTGTCTCGGCCTAATAAGGGAACTGGGCAGGTGGGGATAATTAAAGGAGTGCTTAAGAGAGTATTGTCTAAGTTGGCACCAGAGTTGGGGAGTTTTAAGAGGTTTAGAAGCCTGGCCGTCAATACCCACAACAGTTATGGAGGCAAGAGAAACAGGCCTTTGAAAATAAGGTAATGTGGAGTGGGTAGCCTCCGTATTAAGAAGGGGACGGATTTACTTTCCACTGTGAGAGTTACCAAGAGTATCTCTGATGGTCCTGTAGGCTTCTGAGGTGATCGGGCAGTGTCAGTCTTCAGCTGCTAAGCCGAGAAGATCTGGGAAGGAGTCAGTCAGAGAGCTTTGGGCCAGAGTTCCAGGGACTCTGGAAGTGGCTGAAAGGTGAGTTGAACAGTCCAATTTTCAGTGGGGTCCTACACAGATGGGACATGGCTTAGGAGGAATCCTGGGCTGTGGGCATTCCTTGGCCTAGTGGCCAGATTTCCAGCACTTGTAGCAAGCTCCTGGGGGAGGAGGTTCTGGAGGAACCCTTGGCAGCTGCGGTTCAGGCGTTTGGAGTTCTTGTGTGCTGGAGATGTGGCTGGGGTTTGTCTCACAGTGGAGGCAAAGAATTGCAACTCAGAAATATGTTGCTACTTGGCTGCCTGTATTATTGTACACCTTGAAGGTTAGGTTAATTAAGTCCTGTTGTGGGGTTTGAGGGCCAGAATCTATTTTTTGGAGTTTTATTTAATGTCAGGAGCAGATTGGGTAATAAAATGTATATTGAGAATAAGATGGCCTTTTGACCTTTTAGGGTCTAGGGCTGTAAAGCGTCTCAGGGTTGCTGCCGAACGAGCCATGAACTGGGCTGGATTTTTTATATTTGATGAAAAAGAGTCTGAATGCTAACTAATTTGGGAGAGGTTGGATAAAGAAAAAGGAGCATTAACCTTGACTGTGCCTTTTGCTCCAGCCACCTTTTTAAGAGGAAATTGCTGGGCAGGTGGGGGAGGGCTAGTCGCGGAACAAAACTGTAAACTGGACCAGCTGTGAGGATGTGTCCGGAATTGGTGGGTTCTTGGTCTCACTGACTTCAAGAATGAAGCCGTGGACCCTCGCGGTGAGTGTTACACGTCTTAAGGTGGCGCGTCTGGAGTCTGTCCCTTCTGATGTTCAGATGTGTTCGGAGTTTCTTCCTTCTGGTGGGTTTGTGGTCTCGCTGGCTCAGGAGTGAAGCTGCAGACGTTTGCGGTGAGTAGCTCTTAAGGCAGCGCGTCTGGAGTTGTTCATTCCTCCCGGTGAGCTCGTGGTCTTGCTGGGCTCAGGAGTGAAGCTGCAGATCTTCGCGGTGAGTGTTACAGCTCATTAAAGCAGTGTGGACCCAAAGAGTGAGCAGTAGCAAGATTTATTGCAAAGAGCAAAAGAACAAAGCTTCCACAGTGTGGAAGGGGACCCGAGCGGGTTGCCAATGCTGGCTCAGGCAGCCTGCTTTTATTCTCTTATCTGGCCCCACCCACATCCTGCTGATTGGTAGAGCCCAGTGGCCTGTTTTGACAGGGTGCTGATTGGTGCATTTACAATCCCTGAGCTAGATACAAAGGTTCTCCACGTCCCCATCAGATTAGTTAGATACGGAGTATCGACACAAAGGTTCTCCAAGGCCCCACCAGAGCAGCTAGATACAGAGTGTCGATCGGTGCACTCACAAACCTTGAGCTAAACACAGGGTGCTGATTGGTGTGTTTACAAACCTTGAGCTAGATACAGAGTGCTGATTGGCGTATTTACAATCCCTGAGCTAGACATAAAGTCTTTCCACGTCCCCACCAGACTCAGGAGCCCAGCTGGCTTCACCTAGTGGATCCCGCACTGGGGCTGCAGGTGGAGCTGCCTGCCAGTCTCGTGCCGTGCGCTCGCACTCCTCAGCCCTTGGATGGTCGATGGGACTGGGCGCCATGGAGCAGGGGGTGGCGCTTGTCAAGGAGGCTCAGGCCGCACAGGAGCCCACGGAGGGGGTGGGAGGCTCAGGCATGGCGGGCTGCAGATCCTGAGCCCTGCCCCGCGGGAAGGCAGCTAAGGCCCGGTGAGAAATCGAGTGCAGCGCTGGTGGGCTGGCACTGCTGGGGGACCCAGTACACCCTCCGCAGCCGCTGTTCTGGGTGCTAAGCCCCTCAATGCCCGGGGCCAGCAGGGCCAGCTGGCCGCTCCGAGTGCGGGGCCCGCCAAGCCCATGCCCACCTGGAACTCCAGCTGGCCCACAAGCACTGCGTGTAGCCCCGGTTCCCGCTCGTGCCTATCCCTCCACACCTCCCTGCAAGCTGAGGGAGCTGGCTCTGGCCTTGGCCAGCCCAGGAAGGGGCTCCCACAGTGCAGCGGTGGGCTGAAGGGCTCAAGTGTCGCCAAAGTGGGAACCCAGGCAGAGGACGCGCCGAGAGCAAGCGAGGGCTCTGAGGACTGCCAGCACGCTGTCACCTCTCAAGGAGGGGAGGTGATAAAAGGATTATAGGGTGGAGGAGCAGAGGCTGAGGAAGAATTGGGACCTAGCTCAGCCTGGCAAGGAGGGGAGAGGTCAGATGGGTCTGTAGAAAAGGAAGATTAGAAAGGGTCAGTGATGCTTGGGGTTGGGACTGAGGGGACAGGCAGGAGGGAAAGAAGGAAGATTTGGGACTAGTTGCATTGGGAAGAGAGACTAGGGAGTGACTGATGTGTAAAAGAGTGCCTGGACGTCAGGCACCTGAGACCATTTGCCTATTTTTTGACAAAAATTATTTAGGTCTTGTAGGATGGAGAAATCGAAAGTGCCATTTTCTGGCCATTTAGAACCACTGTCGAGTTTGTACTGGGGTCAAGTGGCATTGTAGAAGAAAATAAGACATTTAGGTTTTAGGTCAGGCGAGAGTTGAAGAGGTTTTATGTTCTTTAGAACACAGGCTAAGGGAGAAGAAGGAGGAATGGAGGGTAGAAGGTTGCCTATAGTGAAGGAGGCAAGTTTAAAGAAAAGGGAGAGTAGACACACGGAAGGAAGCGTTTCAGGGGTTCTTACCCTCCAGAAAAGCGGGAAAGGGTTCGGGGCGCAGAGATACGAGGTCGGGACATGGAAATAAGGGATCAGGGTGCAGAGCTATAAGAGGTGGGGGCATGGAAATAAGGGATCGGGGCACAGAGATACGAGGTTGGGGTACTTGCCCCTCCCCCAGAAAAGCGGGACTTGCCGCTAAGGGTGAAGGAGAAGGGGTTGGGGGTTTCTTGCCCCCTAGAAACGCGGAGAAGGGGTAGAGACATGGAGAGAAGGGTTTGGGGTACTTGCCTCTCCCGCAGAAAAGCGGGACTTGCTGCTAAGGGTGAAGGACTAAGGCAGGCGTCCCTGAGTGGTCTGACACCTCTGAAACGTGGGTGAATAATCAGAGAGGCATCCCTGCAATGATTAAACACCAAGGGAAGGCTGCCTTCCCAGTCAGTGACCGGCACCGGAGTTTTGGGTCCACGGATAAAACGTGTCTCCTTTGTCTCTACCAGAACATGAAAGGAATTGAAATTAAGAGAAGGGAGAGATTGAAGAGTGGAAAGGAGAAAGTGGTTGAGGGATGGTGAGAGAGGTTGGAGAAGAGAGGAAGAAGAGGCTGCTTACCCGATTTAAAATTGGTGAGATGTTTCTTGGGCTGTTGGGTCTGAGGACCTGAGGTTGTAGGTGGATCTTTTTCACAGAGCAAAGAGCAGGAGGACAGGGGATTGATCTCCCAAGGGAGGTCCCACAATCCGAGTCACAGCACCAAATTTCATGTGTGTCCATGTGAAGAGACTACCAAACAGGCTTTGTGTGAGCAATATGGCTGTTTATTTCACATGGGTGCAGCTGGGCTGAGTCCAAAAAGAGAATCAGCAAAGGGAGATAAGGGTGGGGCTGTTTTATAGGATTTAGGTAGATAAAGGAAAATTACAGTCAAAGGGGGCTTGTTTTCTGGCAGGCAGCGTGGAGGGTCACAAGGTGCTCAGTGGGGGAGCTTTTGAGCCAGGATGAGCCAGGAGAAGGAATTTCACAAGACAATGTCATCAGTTAAGGCAGCAACAGGCCATTTTCACTTCTTTTGTGGTGGAATGTCATCAGTTAAGGCAAGAACCGGCCATCTGGATATGTATGTGCAGGTCACAGGGGATATGATGGCTTAGCTTAGGCTCAGAGGCCTGACAATTATAATCTTATATGTATATAAGATTATGTATATAATACACACACCTATCTATAGCCCAATAAAGTTGAAACCTAAAATTAACCATCACACTCACTGTGGCTTGATTTTCTATGTGCTTATCACTAGTTCATGCCCAAACACTATAGAATAATTACCCAGCCACATTAACGATGTTTAACTATAAGGAGCAACCATGACATTTCTATAAATGTCATCTATCCTTATATTTGAGTGATAACCAAGTATAGAATACTAGTTTGGAAATTATGTATTTCAGAATTGGAAAGGCATATCTTATTTTCTTCTAACACCTGCTGTTATTGTTAAGAAGTTAATGTCATTTAGATACTTAATCCTCTTGATGTGCTTATTTGTTTTTCTTTGTGGAAGACTTTGGCATCTTTATTTCTAGTGGCTACAATTTCATAATGTATCTTTGTGTGGATAAGTCTTTTTAAAATAATTGTGTAAGGTATGCACTAGATGCTTTCATTTTAAAAAATAGTTTTATTAGCTTTTACATAATTTTCTTCTATTCTCTCTTGTAAACTAATATTATTCATCCCCAAGATTCCATTTTTATTTCTTCATTTTTTTCTGCTGTGAGCCAATTTTTTACCTTTTATTTTCTGGGAGTTTTCTCAAATTTATCATCTAACCTTGCAAAGGACTTTTTATTTATACTGTCATATTTTAGATTTCCAAGAGAATTATTACACTTGGGTGTTTTTTATAGTACTAGAAATACATGAATGCATTGCCTTCTCCTATCTCCTAGGGGATATTGATTATAGTTATAGTTGTTTTGAGATTTTTCTTCTGATCTCTGAATTGTTTATATTTTATCTGTGATAACTTTTTTCATTGTTTTAGTCAATATATTTGATTGAAGTTTTTCTTAAATATCTTGTGGTCTTATTTTTTAAATTTGTATTTACATTTAAGAAGGAGCTAATTGAAATCTCTCAGTTCTTGGATGGAGTATGTTGAAGGTTAGGCTTCAAAGCAAATTGATAAGACAGTGAACTAGAATTTTCACTGAACAACTGACTTAATATCCCCACAGAGGGATACTATAATGTCCTGCATCGTAGGAGGGGCAGGGAAGAATCTCCATGTCAGCTTTATGGGACCTACTGGGGCGCAGAGGTAGTCTCATTGATGAATATGTACACTTTAACATTCTGAATCTGTGTTTACACACCTCACAAGTTTTCTCAGTTATGCAAACGTTTTCAAAAAATAAACTTCCTAGCTTCTATTAAGGGATCAGCAATCTTCTGCTATGTTAGGTTTGAAAAGAGATTCAGTCACTTAACACATATTTACTTAATTCTGATTATATGCCAAACACTGTTATAGGTAATTGAGATAAAACAGTAAAGATAACAGACAATATCTCTAACCTAATATAGCTTACATTCAAAAGGATCCAGGGGCTAAATACTCTTCAATCAAATTTTGAAACAAACTTTGTTTTCGGCCTCAACCTAAACCCCCAACTTTGGTGATTTTGATCCAAGTCATGAGCCTCTGGGAGTTTCTGCACTGAGTCCATTTGCTTCACTTTGACTTTCCTTCCTATAGGCTTAAGTATCAGCTTTCACTTGCGAACTATGGCAGGTCACATTTTCATCTATTTACATGTTCCATGAAATTTGGCTAAAATTCTTGTTGTGGTTATCCCTAAACACTTCTATGTTGTTTGATTTTCTAATTAAAATCTGTTTAAAATATTATTTGAACTAACAATTTATATACAATACATCTCTAATTGTATGTCTCCTTTTTACTGATGGATGATATATAACTAGTTCATAGATAAGTGATGACTTTTTCAAAGGGCTAATTGCAATTTCTCTGGATTTACAAAGCTTGTAATTTTAAGAGCCAAGTTTTAATTTCTGCATATGATTATATTAATGGGATTGTCCAGTGAAGAGATGAATGCTAAATCAGACTGATTTGAATTAGTTTTCAAAAGGAGAGTGGAGGCAAACTTACACTCCAATCTCATTTAGAATACAAACACAGAATTCATTTTCAGATTGATTGTACCAGTTGCAACATTGATAACTTTACAAATTTACTAACATAGATTTCTCTCTCCATGAAGAGTTTTGTGAGTTGCTTTTCTCCCCTGAAATCCATTTTCATTGTAATGCATTCTTCAGAATGAATAATTTTAACTTAATACAAAAAAATGGTGACACTTCTGCCATCTCAGGACTTGAGTCAACCAGCTATAGTCAGAGGCTCTGAATCAGTAGCACAGCAAATGGATATGGTGAATTCATTACCTTTGATATTAATTTATAAATAGTAAACCTTTAATATAAATTACATTTTTACCAATTTCTAAAATTAGGATAATTAGAAATAAAAAAATGAAATATATGAAGTAGATTAGATAATTGTTCACAGATGTCCTTCTTCCTCCCTTATCTCCAGTATGTATGTATTTCCCCATTTTTCGACTTTGGGTTTAACAGTGTGACTTGCCTGGACCAAGTGGATATTAGAAGCTATGTACTAAGCAAGATCTTGAAATATGTTTATACAGTAAACTTAGTCTCTTATATTTCTGCAATATCCATAAGGAGATGATCCCATAGATAGTTGCTAATACCTCATGTACACCCCAGATGGAAATGCATCCTGCAGTGTGAAGCGTTGCCAACTCAACATCACAACTGGAAGCAGACCTACAGTTTTTGGTATAAAACAAACACATATTTTGTGTCACTAAGATTTTAAAGATATTTGTTATCAAATTGGAAGGAAGATGTGTGGCACAGCTGTAACAAAAATAAAATATGTAGCATTGGTTTGTGATTGACCAATGAGTAAAGAGGGCATTCCTATAGGAAGCAGGAGAAAATGACAAGAGAGCTGTTACAAAAAATTGTGACCTGAATTGTAATATATTGGTAAAGCATTTGACAGACTAAACACTGCTGTACCTTGTGAGGCACAAAATGTGCCTTTTGAACTTGTAGACTTGGACAAGATGGTTTACAGAAAGGATATTAAAAGTGTGTACTGGATCTTGTTATCTGTATTTTGATAATGTACTTCCCAAAGGACAAGCCAAATTAAGTGTGAATATAGTAAGTCCAGATATTCTAGGATTTTTGAAATTGGAAACAAAGTAGTTTCTCATCTCCAAAAATGGATTTTCAAACCAAAGGCAAGGGGACAAAGCTGGAGGACAGAGACCATTTCCATGACGCTATCCAGTAAATACAGTCTGAAGAGTTAAGAACAATTTTTTAAAATGTGAATATGACACTTTTTATGAAGATCTAAAAGTAAAACAGTTGGTTTCTGGTACACCCTTTTAGCCATACAAAAGGACTCCTACTAAAAAATACCAATAAAAGAGAAAGGCATGAGGCATGCCTAAATAGCAATTGGAAACATAGCTTATGGCACATTGACTTGATGAAACCAAACAGACTGAAGAACCGCATAGCACTAAGAAAGCTTCATCAGAAAAAGTTTGGTCAGCCTGTACTGAATTAGACCGACATGTATTTAAGAGAAGACAAGACATCTTGGCCTACAACTTTATATGGGCAACTTTCAATGGGCAAGTGGGCTTGGAAAGCTGCTCAACATCACACTAAAAAGTAAATTTTATAATGCCCTCTTCAGGAGCAGCCAAGGATGAATATGAAAAATGAAAAAGCTTTCAGAGAGCAAAGCCAAGAGTCACGGAGAATAATCTACTACTGGGTTACTCCCACAGAGCAGAACCAGGGTAGAAAGACCTAATAATACATGGTTAATGAGATTTCAGAATTGGTATGGACCATTCTCTTCCTTATAGCTCCTGCTTTTCTCTTTTTCTGATTTTCTGATTTTTTTTCCCTAATTCTATCCATGTTTCACCATTTTATGTTGAGTATGTGGGAAAACAAGTAAGGACAAATAACTAGATTTGGGGTTCAAAGTACTCCAGAACCAAAAAGGGCCACATTTGGAATTCCTATAAACCATAAGATTCTAGAATTTGAGTCAGATGACATCACTGGCTGAGACTTTGGGGAATCTTAGGATGGAGGTAGCATGTTTTTTGCATTGAAGGAATGTGAATATTTATGAAACGTGTTAAGACTAGATTATTGTTGAAAAGTATTTATTCTTCCCCATCTCCCCAACTTCATGGGAGTTATATGCTTCCTGTCTTTTGATTTGGGGCTAATTCATATGACTTGATTAGCCAATGAAATGTTAGCAGACAAGAAAATAGCTAAGGCTTGAATTATACCTTAATGTTGAGATTTGTTCTTTTGTGCAGCTGCCATTACCGTGAGATGTCCTAGAAACGACAATGCTGCCTCAACTATGGCCCTGGGAATAAACACCATGGGGCAGGATTCCTCAGCCATGGTAACTTAAAGCAGAAGCACTGTAAACAAATTAAATGTGCAGGCATGAACAAAATAAATGCTTATTGCCTGCCTCCAAAATGATATGAATATTGGTCATATAGCAATAGTTTGTGATCTAACTTTAATTCAAATGAAAAATTTTTAAAAACACACAACTCATGTAAATGGAGAAAACAAAAAATAAGTAAATTGCCAAGCTATTAATGATGCTCATATTTAGGTATAAGGGCATGAATCATATTTTTCTTTGATATAGTTTACATATATTTTACAGACTAGCATCTGCATAGTGTTTAAAAGTATAAACATTCTCATACAAATCTTATTATTTGTGTGTGTGCTCCACTATCCAAAAGTTCTATTTAACTGGTAATACATCTTTTGCAGTAAACCAAATACTGATATTATTCACATGAAGAAATTTTGTTTTACAATTTTAATTATGTTTATGGGATATTTATTTAATGACCTTGAGGAAAATATTAAACTATTACACAAACAATGACTATAAAATCCTATGATCTTGTGATTTTTATTTACTTTGAAGCAGGATATTTCTCTGACTCCTTGGCATGACTCATGACAAGGGTGCCTCATTTACCCAGCCCACAGCTTTCAACTCCTCATGCGTGGGAGGGAATGTGTGAGAGAATGAGGCAAGAACTGGAGTGCACGAACACTGGAACCAGCCAGCTGCTTTAGCACTGGCAGGAGTGAACTCCACTCACTCAGACCCTCTGTGCTCCACCCCTTATGGGGTGGAGCAGGCAGCTGAATGGGTGCAGGAGCTGGGGCAAGTGCTTTTGGGTGTTAGCAGGAGCATACTCTGTGCAGACCTCACTGTGGTTTCTGGCAGTGGGCAGGGGATGCCCACAGCCCTTGAAGCCCCAGAGGGCATGTTACAGCATTCTTTTAGCTCTGCCATCCATGAATGGCTTATGTGTTAACAGCTCACATGGGACCTTTTGTATCTGCACTGGTGGGTACCAAGCTGTTGTCCAGCATCCAGGAGAAGTGAGGTCCTACGAACTAATTGAAGAATAATAAATGTGGGAGATTGTATTGCTGATGAAAGTGGCTCTCAGTGGGAAGGGGAGCTGAAAAGGAGATGGGGCAGGAAGGTAATCTTCCCCTGAAGTCCAGTGGTCTCCAGGCGAATTTTTGTCCAAAGTTATATCATCAAGCTGTCCCTCTGAAGTCAAGCGGCTTCTCTCTGATGTCCAGCCATAGTCTCCATCATCCAGCTGCTTCTCCTCTCTGCTGACTGAGTCTGGGGTCTTTATAGGCCTAGGGTGGTGGGGTGGGATGGGGTGGGCCATGGGTAGTTTAGGAAAAGGCAACATTCAAGCAGGAAAACAGGGACAGAAGTTCTGAATTTGGGCCGTGGTTTCAGGCTTTTCAGTCTGAGGGTGTGGTTTCGCCAGGGAACCCATCCTTCTCTGCCTACAATTTCTCTGCCTCCTGTCCCTATCAATTCAATTCTATGCCACAAGCTGACCTACTGCCTGTTAGAGCTTTTCATGTTGTTGTTGTTGTTGTTGTTGTTGTTGTTGTTGTTTAGTTTGGCTATAGTCTTCAAAAATATAATTACTCAAAAATTATTTTTGATAATGTTTGAAACATTCAATTGAGGCATGCTCCAAAAGGTATAAAAAATGTGATTTTGCTAAGAAGAGGATTTCAAAAAAGAAAGCAAAACAAAACAAAAAACAGATACTGTTTTAATCAATAGTACTTCTCACAGAGTATATTTGGGACTCCATTTTCCAAGTATATGATAAGATTTTACTTTTAAGCTCCCTGGGCTTGGGTGGAACTGTGCAAGTGATTCTGGCCAATGAGATTTGTGCACAGTGATATGTGTCATTATTAGGAAAGACATTCACATGCTGCCTTCAGAGCTCCCTCTTTTATCACTCACATGGCAACTGGGAATATTTGAGATGGGGTCTGGTCTGCAAGCCTGTTGCTCTGTGTGATTACCATAAGCAGATTTCCCTGATGACTCATGATTGTGTAGTGTGAGTAAAAAACATAAACACTTTGTAACTTTGTAACAATTGTGGTTTTGTTCTTGCAGCATAACCTGGATTATTATGATTTATGTCCCCTATTTGATACCACCCTCCCCCCAAAAAGAGTGATAAGAAAGGCAATTAGTGGTTGACCATAAATATGTGGAATTGCATAAAAGGTAGTACATTTATTAAAGGTAGTACATTTATTTAAAAAACAAAACTAGTTTCAAGACACCATTCCATAAAAGAAGTCAACTAACCAGGTTATCCACTTTTAGCCTTTAAATCCCTGAAGTAACATCTTACCTCAGAGAAGGCTTTCCTGATAGCCCAATTCCATCATATCAAGTTATTTCCTCCAAGTTATAATAACCAAGTTATAATTGTCCTTTTATTTTCTATTTTCCCTTTACTACTGCAATATCCAGTTGGGCAAGTGCCATTTCTGCTTATCCATGCGTGTATTCTAGCGTCTAACAAGTTCCTAGTGTTGTGGGACTTTTTCCTTATTTCAGCTAAAGACGTGGGTCCTTACCACACGGCCACAAAAAATTAGGCTCATAGATGATTTGAATAGTGAGTAAGGCAGGGTTTTATTGGGTGAAAAGGGAAAAAACAGGAAACAGGGACCCTCAAGAAGCCAGAGTCCTTGCTCGTGTGCTTCCCGCTTTGCAGTTTGAATCCCAGGTTCCACACAGGAAGAGGAGGGGCCAGGCTCCTCCCCATTGCAAATGGTGTGAACTTCTGTGGCTCCACCCCAGTGTGCATTCTTCCCGGTGCAAAGCCCAGCTGGAGTTTTGCCGGGGAGCCGTTTCAACGTGGTCGTCTCACTAACACATAATACATTCTTCGTGTGTGAGTGTGTGTGTGTGTGTGTGTGTGTGTGTGTGCATGCGCAGGCATGTGCAATTGATTTCTATATTGTCAATGGGTGCTTTTACCTCATAACTGCAGAGCTGTGTAGCTGTGTTAAAAACTGTATGACCCTGCAAGGCCTAAAATATTTGTTATCTGGCTTTTTTACGGAAATGGTTACCTGACCTCAGCTCTAAACAGTCTGAAACAAGACAACTAAGAAGGATGAGCTGAAACAAAATCTTTAGGAAAGGCTATGAGTGAAAGACTGGGAAACCAAATAAAAACACCATGTTTAAAAATCTAGGGATGGATGTGAATCTTTAATTCAGTAAAAGATAGGGGCAGCATTAAATGCAATCAGAGCAAAAAAGACAGAAGACATGTCCAATATAATTGCCTTAATTAGTTCTGAAGAAATGAATCCATGGTGGATAGATAAGAAAGGATGAAGGATGATTTAAGAGACAAAACTGTTTGAAAATGATAGTATACTACTTGTTGTCTCTTTTTGGGGATGAAAACAAGAAGAAATAAACACCTTCCATATTAATTATCCTTTCGATACCTATAATAAATGCCTTCTGTCTCCTAGACTCAATATCATTGAATCATTGATCTTTATTATTTCCTCTTTGTTCTAACAAACACATGGTGTGTGTATGTGGGTGTGTATGTGTGTGTGAGAGACAGAGAGAGAGAAAGAAAGAGAGAAAGAAATGTTACAAACATACAGTGTTCCTTTTGTTTTAATATTGATAGTGCCTCATGTTTGCTCCAGTAAATTAACATCTCCACCTTTACTTACTTGACAGGAAATACAAGTAACAATAGCAATATGACAAGAGAAGATGGAGGCAGACATGTGCTAACAAGGAAGAGAGGGGTGGAAAGATTTATAACTCATCAAAATATGCACACTCTTTCTACTCTATAAGACGTGCTAAGACCACCTGTCTGAGTTATGCAAGTTAACAGCTTTCCAGAAATATAGTTTTACAAATGCTGAATAACATTTTCCTAGCCCTTTAGAAATGATGAGTGGGAAATCTTAAAAACTTATTTTTATTTTTATATAAGTAGTAAGCTTTCTGTGAATTTGCTAATTTGAAGGATTTTGCTAAATTCCAGCACAGACCATGATAAATTACAGTTTTTGCCATTACAGCAACCTAATACAGTATAGGTATGTATTAATTGTAACCCACACATATGTTACAAAGGTATACTGTAACTTCATGTAATATAATTACATGTGTCAATTGAAAAAAATATTTTTAGCAAAGAAAGAATTATGTTTAGGTGCTAGTATAGAATTAAGACACAAAGAAAAGATTGAACAATACCAATAGAGTTAGGGGGTAAGGAAAGAAAGAATATATTGAAAGATTAAGTCAAGTTTCTTTAAAGAAGTACAAATCCAATTTCTGAAACTCTCATTGTGTTCACAATCTTCTATTCTGCTGAACTCTTAGAGTTGGTTCCTAAACTATCTATTCAGAATTTTTCTGTACAAATGTGTTATGTGCATCCACTTAAAGTTGTGTATAAATGAGCCTGGTAACTCCAACATCATTGAAAATTTTGAGTTTATATTCAGTTTCCCACACTCAAGGGTGGGAGAAGAAGTCTCTATTGACTAGAAGTTCAAGTCACTGTTCTCTAAGGCTATACTGAGTAAGAAGTTCAATTGCTCTTCTGTACATTTCCCAAAGATACAGCTTAGCGATTTTCTAATCTGAAATGTATATAAGAGTGATCATTATCAAACTGTTTTACACATCTATTTTGAACTCTCAATATGTTCAGAGGAGAAACTGTAAATTATGTTTATTTTAACATTAAGAAGGTTTAATGTCTAAACCTTCAATCAATCCAAATGCCTTCAGTTTTGGTAGGAATGCTTCAATAACAAAATTCGAAAGAAAAGTCTGGGAGAACATAACTAAACTGTGATATCAAACCATGTTTCTTACTATAGGGATAAATAGAAATGCTTTAATCAATTTGCAACTTGAGGTAGCTATGAGGGTTTTTTTTGTTTGCTTGTTTTTTCCAAATAGTCTGAATCATGTCATATTGGGTAGTTTGGAAGACATTCAGAAATTCTGAAAACCTCCCAAAACATTATTGGAAAACATAAGTTGGTTAAATTTGTGTTTTAAATATGTCGAATGCTAATAGGACCTTAGAGCCTCCCTCTGCTTGTGAGTAAAACTAATTCCAAAGAATCGCATATGTTTATTCAAAAGATGTATGCAATTTGGCAATATTGCTTATATTATTTCTTCATGTAACACTCATGGAAATATTGGTTCAGAAAAGTGACATATCAGTGTTTATCAAAAACATATCTAACATTCAGTATGCCTAATAATCATTACCAGAAAACTACTAAGTATGATGATGCTTTAAAGCATAAAACATAACATTTTCATTTCCTTTAAGTGATAGAAAATATAAAGGGCAGATGCAGCCAGTGTTTGAATAAATAATTACCCAACAAAGGATTTTAAATATTTGTATTCTCTTTGCCTTAGTCAGTTCAGGTTGCTATAACAAAATATCATAGATTAGGTAGCATATAAACAACAGAAATGTATTTCTCACATTTCTGGGAGCTGGGAAGTCCAAGATCAAAGCACCAGCAGATTCAGTGCCTGGTGAGAACCCGCTTCCTGAGTTATAGATGGTGGCCTTCTCTCTGTGTCCTCATGTGGTAGAAGGGCCAAGAAAGCTCTCACAGGTCTCCTTTTTTAAGGTTATTAATCCCATTTATGAAGGCAGAATCCTCATGACCTAATCACCTCCCAAATACCCCACCTACTAATACTATTACATTGGGGTTTAGGTCAACATATGAATTTTGAAGGAACATAAACTTTCAGTACATAGCACTCTTATTGTGGAGCAAAAAAAAAGAAAAAAGAAGAATGCATTTAAGAGACGGGAGAATAGAAGATGTGGGTAGCAAAGCTAAGGTGATGTTTTTTGATGTCCAACCTTTGAAAAATTTGAACTGAGTAAAATCAAAAGAATTGTATCAAAAACTGCTCAGTCTCAAAACTGAATCCTACCTGCTAGGAAGATTTGGCACAATGTAGGTCCAGGGATTGATTCAGGTCAGAGTGCCTTGGTAGATAGGTTCCGGGGGGACGCCCCCAGTAGGAGGAGAGTGCCATTAAAAGCCCTAGATTTCACTTAAACTTTATAACCCTTCATTCTGGGGAGAAGGAAAGCAGGAACTTTTTATGCACAAGAAGGCGATTTCTTTCAATATGGAATTCAAAGCAAAGATTACCCAGTGTTGTTTTTTGTTTGTTTCTGTTTTTGTTCCTGTTGCTTATCAGAAGCTTCAGAAACAAAGGAAGACAGGAGCAAAGTTCTTAGATTTCAGACACTGTATGATTCAGATCGGATTTTGCTTTTCTTTACACCTTCAATATTAATTGAGGGCGTATTAGGTTTTGTATATAATGATAATGAGAATAGGAAGAGGATTATGAAGTTACCATATTTAAGCAGTTTCTATTTTACAACTTTGATTTCTATGTTTACCAATCATTTATTTTAACCATTACCTTATTTTTCATTTGCTATAATGTGATTTGAAATGAGAGATTTAAAACACTCATGTGAACATTATATTTAATTATTTGAATGTAAATGAAATTCCTCATTTCCATCTAGAAGGGGAAAGGAATTTAAAAGAGGAAAATATTGTCCCCTTTTACAAAAACAATATGACACATTCATATAAAACTTATGAATATAAATTGGTGAGGCTATGTTAATTAGCTTGATCAAATCTATCTATAATGTATACATAGATCAAAATATAATATTGTAACTCATAAATATATACAATTATTATTTGTCAATTAAAAATAAATAAAGTTATGACTATAAGCTATATAGTTTAAAAATCTTCACTACCATATATTGGCAATGGAATTTTAATTGATTTTTGACACATAAAATTTGAACATGGAGGAAAAAAAGAATGAGAGGGTCAATTACTATAATATGATTCTCTCGGTTGGAACCAAAAATATTTATTTAAAGAGCCACTAAACAATATCATCCTTGCCAATCAATATATGATGACAGTTCTATTGGCATCAATACACTTAGTATTGAAAGTGTGCCTAATAATTTACATAGTTAATTTACACTAGCAGTTAGCCCTCTGACTTATTAATGTACAGAACATCTCCTTAGTGATTAAAATCAATTGGTATATGAACAAATGGATTAGGAAAGTACATTTTCATATAGATTAAAATATCTGGTTAAAGGCAAATTTTTATAGTTTCAGTTGAAAGTATTTTTAAGAACAATTATTTTTCCTAGTAAGTAAATTTGAACTGGTAAGAAGCCCAGAGCTACAAACATACATTATGTTGTTTCAGTGACCTCTATATGATGATAAATTCTTTGCACCTTTGTGTGTCTTTCTTTGAAACTCCTTGAAATCTTCTAGGAAATTGTTCCAAAATAAAATGAGGCTATGTGGTAGAAAGCTAAAATATTGCCTGTTTTAGTTTCTCACCTCTAACATAAAAAACATTTTATGTGACCTTTTATTGTTTCCCATAGGAACCATGGACCCAAATTCAGTGTTGTTTTTAAAATATGGTTGGATAGTATAGCATGGAAATATTCAAATACAATGCAAAATATGCTGCAAATATTTTGAAAGAAATATGTTTTTTCTTATGATTGTAAATTCATATAGTAGCTTCATTAGGCAGCACTATTTTTTTTTTTTTTTTTGAGACAGACTCTCACTCTTGTCACCTGGGCTGTATTACAATGGCGCGATCTTGGCTCACTGCAACCTCCACCTCCGGGTTCAAGCAATTATCCTGCCTCACCCTCCTGAGTAGCTGGAATTACAGGCCCACCACCAACGCCCAGCTACTTTTTGTATTTTTAGTAGAGACAGAGTTTCGCCATGTTGGCCAGGCTGGTCTCAAACTCTTGACCTCAGGTGATCCACCTGCCTCAGCCTCCCAAAGTGCTGGGATCACAGACATGAGCCACCACGCTGGGCCAGGCAGCACTTATTTTTTAAAAAGTCTAACATTGGGCTAGCCACTGAATGATTTATATTAACAGATTGAAATTTTGAACACCCTTTGTGTTAAGGATTTTTTATTGCTTTTCTAACTATTGTCCTTGTTTCTCTGCTGAATGCCACATGGCAATTGAATTTATTTGAAGATATATTTTATCCAATTTAAAAAATCTGCAGAAGATAACTTACACTAAGTATTAAGTTGCTTTCTAAATATAATAAAACTGGAATGAATTGTAATTGTGTTTTAATGTACAATCTATAATTCTGTTTTAACACCAACAGATACAAGAGATATGATTTTGTTGACTCAAAAAATGGGGCTCGGCCAGATGCGGTGGGTCACACCTGTAATCCTAACACTTTGGGAGGCTGAGGAGGCAGATTGCCTGAGCTCAGGAGTTTGAGACCAGCCTGGGCAACATGGTGAAACCCTGTCTCTACTAAAATTTTAAAAAATAAATAAATAAATAAATAAAATTAGCTGGATGTGGCAGCTGGCGCCTGTAGTCCCAGCTACTCGGGAGGCTGAGGCAGGAGAATCGTTTGAACCCAGGAGGCAGAAGTTGCAGTGAGCCAAGATCGCGCCACTGCATTCCAGCCTGGGCGACAGAGCAAGACTGTCTTCCAAAAAAAAAAAAAGTGGGGCTCAGTGCTTAGAGCTTCAACAAATACAATGACAGATCAAATAAATTACCTTTCTATCTACCAGTAACCTATTGTCTAAAAGGAAATATCAGACACATACCCATATATTTGAATTTGTTAGATATTTATAAATTCAAATCAAACTATATTAACATTATTTACAGTAAATCAGAGAACAAAAAAATTTCTAGTAAATACTTCCAGTAATGAAGTAAAGATTTAGGAAGAAGGTTGTATTTTATACTTATCAACGAGAGACAGGTAAGGATGGACAAACGAAACATGGTGAGGAGATAGAAAGAATTACTTCAGTCAAGTAATAGAAAGAAGGGGGCCAGAAATTACAAGATTTAAATAAGACTCCAGATTTCAATAAGCCACACAATGAACTGGACGGATGGCAAGGAAGATCAACGATATTTAAGAGAAAATTGAAGCGCAATGCAAAGAAGCCAGTAAAATGATCTAAGAGTTGAATGATGACACAGCCATTTGAAGAAAGGAAAACACTGAATGCCTGGAATTGAAAAATTTACTACAGGAAATTAAAAATACAGTTGTAAGCAGTAATAACACACTAGTCCAACCTGAGGAAAGAATTTCAGATCTCAAAGACCATTCCTTTGAATCAACCCAGTGAGACAAAAATAAAGAAAAAAAGAGCAGTGAAACGAGTGTCAAATTCACTTATTTTGCATAACTCTTTAAAAAGGTCATGCCAAGGACTATCAGTGTTCTTTATACTATTAGAAGTAGAGTCCTTTGCATTTTTGGGTCTAATCACATTAAGCAGTCAACTCCAGAAACCCCCAAACCAACAAAAGAACTCCATCCTTAATATTCCGTTCCTCTAAAGCCACTCCTGGTACCAAAATCTGTATTATTCAGGGTTCTCTAGAGAAACAGAACTAACTAACTAACTATATATATATATATATATATATATATATATATATATAGAGAGAGAGAGAGAGAGAGAGAGAGAGAGAGAGAGAGTTTATTAACAAGTATTAACTCACACGATCACAAGGTTCCACAAGAGGCCATCTGCAAGCTGAGGAACAAGGAAGCCAGTCTGAGTCACAAAGCTGAGGAACTTGTAGTCCTATATTTGAGGACAGGAAGCATCCAGTACGGAAAAAAGATGTAGGCTGAGAGGCTAAGCCAGTCTAGTCTTTTCACATTTCTCTGCCTGCTTTATATTCTGGTCCCACTGGCAGCTGACAAGATGGTGCCCACCCAGATTAAGGGTGGATCTGTCTTTCCCAGCTCACTGACTCAAATGTTAATCTCCTTTGGCAACACCCTCACAGACACACCCAGAATCAATACTTTGCATCCTTCAATCCAATCAAGTTGACACTCAGTATTAACCATCACAATTACCATTATATAGTTCTTACATCTTTTAATACCCAAGTTAAATATTTCTTTCAACTTTTTTTTTTTTTTTTTAGATTAAGGGATTACCTGTGCAGGTTTGTTACAATGGTATATTGTGTGATGTTGAAGTTTGGGATACAATTAAACCCATCACCTAGGTAGTAAGAATAGCATACAATAGGTATTTTTTCAACATTTCCCCTGCCCCCTCCTGGAGTCCCCAGTGTCTATTGTTCCCATCTTTATGTCCATGTGTACCCAATGATTAGCTCCTGCTTACAGGTGAGAACATGTGGTATTTGGTTTTCTGTTTCTTTGTTAGTTTGCTTAGAATAATGGCCTCCAGCTCCATCCATGTTGCTGCACTAGACATGACATCATTCTTTTTAATGGTTGCATAGTATTCCTTGTTATATGTGTACGACATTTTCTTTATTGAATCCACCATTGATCAGCACCTAGGTTGAATCTATGTCCTTGCTATTGCAAATAGTACTGTAATGAACATATGGATACATGTGGGTCTTTTTGATAGAATGATTTACTTCCCTTTGGGTATATACTCAGTAATAAGATTTGCTGTTTTGAATGGTAGTTCTATTTTTAGTTCCTTGAGAAATCCCCAAACTGCTTTCTGCAGTGGCTACACTAATTTACATTCCCACCAGCAGTCTATAGGCATTCCCTTTTTCCTGCAGCCCTGTCAAGATTTGCTTTTTTTTTTTTTTTTTTTTTTTTGAGACGGAGTCTTGCTCTGTCGCCCAGGCTGGAGTGCAGTGGCGCAATCTCGGCTCACTGCAAGCTCCGCCTCCCGGGTTCACGCCATTCTCCTGCCTCAGCCTCCCAAGTAGCTGGGACTACAGGCGCCCGCCACTACGCCCGGCTAATTTTTTGTATTTTTAGTAGAGACGGGGTTTCACCGTTTTAGCCGGGATGGTCTCGATCTCCTGACCTCGTGATCCGCCCGCCTCGGCCTCCCAAAGTGCTGGGATTACAGGCGTGAGCCATCAAGATTTGTTTTTATCATTACTATTTGCATGGAAGGAGAAATGGCCAGATATACGATTGTATACTGATTCATGGGCTATAGCCAATGGTTTGGCTGGATGGTCAGGAACTTGGAAGAAGCATGATTGGAAAATTGGTGACAAACAAATTTGGGGAAGAGGTATGTGGATGGACCTCTCTGAGTGGTCAAAAACTCTGAAGATATCTGTATCCCATGTGAGTACTCACCAATGGATGACCTCAGCAGAGGAGGATTTTAATAATCTGGTGAACAGGATGATCCTTTCTGTGGACACCACTCAGCCTCTTTCCCCAGCCACCCCTATCATCACCCAGTGGGCTCATGAACAAAGTGGCCATGGTGTCAGGGAGGGAGGTTATTCATGGGCTCAGCAACATGGACTTCCACACATCAAGACTGATCTGGCTGTGGCCCCAATTTGCTAGCAGCAGAGACCAACACTGAGCCCTTGATATGGCACCATTTCTCAGGGTGATCAGACAGCTACCTGGTGGCAGATTGATTACATTGGACCTCTTCCATCATGGAAAGGGCAGAGATTTGTCCTCACTGGAATAGACACTTACTCTGGGTATGGGTTTGCCTATCCTGCATGCAATGCTTCTGCCAAGACTACCCTTTGTGGACTTATCCACCATCATGGTATTCCACACAGCATTGCCTCTGACCAAGGCACTCACTTTACAGCTAAAGAAGTGTGGCAGTGGGCTCATGCTCATGGAATTTGCCAGTCTTACCATGTTCCCCATCATCCTGAAGCAGCTGAATTGGTGCTCATGCCATTCACTAGTTTTACCATGTTCCCCATTATCCTGAAGCAGCTGGATAGACAGAATGATGGAATGGACTTTTGAAGTCACAATTATAATGCCAACTAGGTGACAATATTTTGCAGGGCTGAGGCAAAGTTCTCCGGATGCTCTGAATCAGCATCCAATATATGGTACTGTTTCTGCCATAGCCAGAAATCAAGGGGTGCAAGCGGAAGTGGCACCACTCACCATCACCCGTAGTGATCCACTAGCAAAATTTTTGCTTTCTGATCCTGCCAGACTATGTTCTGCTTGCCTAGAGGTCGGTCTTAGTTGCAGAAGGAGGAACACTGCCCAGAGGAGACGAAACAACGATTCCACTAAACTGGAAGTTAAGATTGGCACCTGGACACTTTGGGTTCCTTCTACCGTTAAGTCAACAGGCTAAGAAGGGAGGTACAGTGTTGACCGGGGTCATTGATCCAGACTACCAAGATGAAATCAGGCTACTACTCCACAACGGAGGTAAGGAAGAGTAAGCATGGAGTACAGGTGATCCATTAGGGTGTCTTTTAGTATTGCCATGCCCTATGATTAAGGTCAATGGGAAACTACAACAACCCAATCCAGGCAGGACTACAAATGGCCCAGACCCTTCAGGAATGATTTGGGTCACTCCGCCAGAAAAAAATTAAAAAAAAAAAAAAAATACCAAGACCTTCTGAGGTGCTTACTGAAGGCAAAGGGAATACAAAAGTAGTCATCAATACCAGCTATGACCACATGACCAGTTGCAGAAACAAGGATTGTTATTGTCATGAATACTTCCACCTTCTTTGGTTAAAAAGATGTCTGTGCATGTATACACTTGTACTAAGAAAATATCTTAATTTTATTTCCTTTTTCCTTTGTCATGTAACATAAGATTTAGTGACTTCATATCAGCATTGAAGTATTGCTAACTTTATGTAATAGTATTTTGGCTGGGGATTGGTTCATTTCCAGTTGTCTGAAGGATAGTTGTATCATGTTAGGCATAATTATGACCTTATTATTGTCTTTATTTGAAGATTATATATGATCTCAGGAGATGTGTATGGGTTTAAGTTGACAAAGGGTGGACTTGTGATGGTTAATATTGAGTGTTAACTTGATTGGATTGAAGGATGCAAAGTATTCATCCTGGGTGTGTCTGTGAGGGTGTTGCCAAAGGAGATTAACATTTGAGTCAGTGGGCTGGGAAAGGCAGATCCACCCTTAATCTCGGTGGGCAGTGTCTAATCAGCTGCCAGTGGGACCACGATATAAAGCAGGCAGGAAAACATGAAAAGATTAGACTGGCTTAGCCTCCCAGCCTACATCTTTTTCCTATGCTGGATGCTTCCTACCCTCAAACATAGGACTCCAAGTTTTTCAGATTTGTGACTCAGACTGGCTTCCTTGTTCCTCAGCTTGCAGATGGCTTATTGTGGGACCTTGTGATTGTGTAAGTTAATACACCCTAATAAACTCCATATTATGAAGTCCATGTCCAAAGTCTCATCTGAGACAAGGCAAGTTTCTTCCTCCTATGAGCCTGTAAAATCAAAAGCAAGTTAGTCTCAGCAAGGAGTCTTAGCCTGGACTTTAAACTCTCGAGGAAGTTCCAGGCATTACCACATTTTCCTGTGTTATTCTGAGCCCTCCAAATTGTTCCAACCTCTGCCTGTTACCCAGTTTCAAAGTGGCTTTCACATTTTCTGGTATTTTTACAGCAGCCCCTCACTTTCTCCATTACCAATTTACTGTCTGTTCTCGTGCTGCTAATAAAGACATACCCAAAGCTGGGTAATTTAAAAGGAAAGAGGTTTACTTGACTCAAAGTTCCATGTGGCTGCAGAGGTCTCAGGAAACATACACAGAAGGGAAAGCAAACACGTCCTTCACATCGTGGCAGGAAGAATAAGCAAAGTTGTGGAGGGGGGAGAGTTGGGGAAACCAGCCCCACACCACCCAGCGGGTACCCCGAGTCCGGTGGAGACAAAAGAGTTAGAAAGAGACAGAATAAACATTTAAAAGGTGGGTCCAGGGAACCGGAGCATCGGAGGCTTGCTCACGGCCCAGAGCTCTCGGGCTCCACCCAATTTATTGGTTTACAAGCTCTTTGGAAGGGATAAGGAAAACGATTAATCAGTGAAGGAGAGCTAGTGAGTCATTCGATAAGATGTATAGCAGTGGTGGTTCCTGTGAATTTCCTTGAGCAAAGGCATGTGTCTAAACTACTTAAGATCTTTAAGTTATTGGGACTGAAACAGGTGGGAGCAGGTTTCAGGAGGAGCCAAGATGTTTGATTATACTCCACTGCTTCAAGGGAGTTTTATCTTCCTGAGCAACGTGTAGAATGCCGTGGAGTGGTTATGCGCTCAGGGCATAAAGACAGGAGGGCAATAAGGAGACTTTTCTCCTCAGAGGCCACCCATCACTTCCCATGGTTGTCTCACACAGGGGAGACCAACTCAACGGGCACCTCTGAAACTCTCTTTCCAACCGGGGAGCCCTAATAAAACTGTCAGATCTCTTGAGAACTAACTCACTATTATGAGAACAGGATGGCGGTAACTGCCCCTCATGATTCAATTACTTCCCACTGGGTCCTTCCCACAACACTTGGGGATTATGAGACCTACAATTCGGGATGAGATTTGGGTTGGGACACAGCTAAGTCATATTTAGAATCATATTCATGAAATCATTTCCAAGTCTGAAGCCATGAAGCACTTTCCCTGTTTTTTTCTAGCAGTTTTACAGTTTCAGATCTTATATGTACCTTTTAATTCCTTTGAGTTGATTTTTGTGTTTGGTGTAAGGGTCCAATTTTATTATTTTGCCTGGGGATATTTAGTTTTACCAACATCATTTATTGAAGTTTTCCCATTGTGTAATCTTGGTGCCCTTGTTGAAAATCAGTAGACAATATACACATAGACTTATTTCTGGGCTATCTATTCTGTTTCATTGGTGTATATGTTTGCCTTTATCTAGTACCATACTTTTTAAAGCACTATAGCTTTGAGATATGTATTGAAATCAGAAAGTGTGATGCCTCCAACTTTGTTATTTTTTTCAATATTGTTTGACTCTTCAGGGTAATTTTATATAAAGTTTTATATAATTCTGTCATTTAATATAAATTTTAGAATGTTTTTATATTTGTGTAAATAATATCAATAGAACTTAGGTAGTAATTGCATTGAATCTATAGATTGTTCTAAGCACTTTAAGACTCTATCATCAATTACAATCATTCTGAGGTACTGTAGGATAGAACTTAAACATAAAGTTTGAGAAAAACCAACTTAAGCAATAACTGAACAGAACCCCTTTGGGATAATACATTTAGACTCTCATTTTCTTATAGCTAATTTCCATATTTATTCAACCCTTAAGTTGAGACCATAAAATTAATCAATTAATATTAAAATGACACAATACTAAATAATAAAAGCATTTGAAACAAAATAAATCAATAAATCTATGTGACTGACAAGTATCTAAAATAATTCATTGCCCTTTAATAATGTATTAGTCCGTTTTCATGCTGCTGGTAAAGACATACCCAAGACTGGGAAGGAAATAAAGTTAATTGGACTTACAGTTCTACATGGCTGGGAAGGCCTCAGAATGATGGCCATAGGTGAAAGGCACTTCTTACACGGTGATGGCAAGAGAAAATGAGGAAGATGCAAAAGCAGACACCCCTGATAAAATCATCAGATCTTGTGAGACTTATTCACTACCATGAGAACAGCATGGGAAAAACCACCCCCATGAATCATATTATCTTCCACCATGTCCCTCCCACAATATGTGGGAATTATGGGAGTAGAATTCAAGATGAGATTTGGGTAGGGACACAGAGCCAAACCATATATTCCACCCCTGGCCCCTCCAAATCCATGTCTTCACATTTCAACACCAATCATGCCTTCCCAACAGTCCCCTAAAGTCTTAACTCATTTCAGCATTAACCCAAAAGCCTCATCTGAGACAAGGCAAATCCCTTCCACCTATGAGCCTGTAAAATCAAAAGCAAACTAGTTACTTCCTAGATACAATGTGGGTACAGGTATTGGGTAAATACAGCTTTTCCAAATGGGAGAAATTGCCCAAAACAAAGGGGTTACAGGGATTGGCCAAAACAGTAGGGTTACAGGGCCCAAGCAAGTCCAAAATCCAGCAGGACAGTCAAATTTTAAAGCTCCAAAATGATCTCCTTGACTCCGGGTCTCACATCTAGGTCACACTGATTCAAGAGGTGGGTTTTCGTGGTCTTGGGCAGCTTCGCCCCTGTGGCTTTGCAGTGTATAGGCCCCCCTCCTGGCTGCTTTCACAGGCTGGTGATGAATGTCTTTGGCTTTTCCAGGTGCAAGCTGTTGGTGGATCTACCATTCTGGGGTCTGGAGGATAATGGCCTTTTCTCACAGCTCCATTAGGTGGTTCCCCAGTAGGGACTCTGTGTGGGGATCTGACCCCACATTTCCCTTCCACACTGCCCTAGCAGAAGTTCTGCATGAGAGCCCTGCCCCTCCAGCAAACTTCTAGCGGGAATCCAGGCATTTCCATACATCTTCCGAAATTTAGGAGGAGGTTCCCAAACCTCAGTTCTTGACTTCTGTGCAGCCACAAGCTCAACACTACTTGGAAGCTGCCAAGGTTTAGGGCTTGAATCCTCTGAAGCCATGGCCTGAGCTCTATGTTGACCCTTTTGAGCCACTGCTAGAGCAGCTGGGAGGCAGGGCACCAAATCCCTACACTGCACACGGCACAGGGACTCTGGGCCCTACCCATGAAACCATTTTTTTCCTTCTAGATCTCTGGGTTTGTGATGGGAGAGGCTGCTGCAAAGGTTTCTGACATACCCTGGAGACATTTCCCCCATTGACTTGTAGATTAACATTTAGCTCCTTGTTAATTATGCAAATATCTGCAGCCAGCTTGAATTTCTCCTCAGGAAATGGGGTTTTCTTTTCTATCACATTATCAGCCTGCAAATTTTCTGAACTTTTATGCTCCCCTTACCTTTTAAAACTGAATACCTTTAAAAGCACCCAAATGACCTCTTCAATGCACTGCTGCTTAGAAATTTCTTCTGTCAGATACCCTAAATCATCTCTCTCAAGTTCAAAGTTTGGCAAATCTCTGGGCTGGAGCAAAATGCCTCTAATCTCTTTGCTAAAACATAACAAGAGTCACCTTTGCTCCATTTCCAAACAAGTTTCTCATCTCCATCTGAGACCACCTCAGCCTGGTGGTACTGATATCAAGGTCCATATCATTATCAGTATTTTTGTCAAAGCCATTCAACAAGTCTCTAGGAAGTTCCAAACTTTCCCACATTTTTCTATCCTCTTCCAAGTGTTCCAAACCATTCCAGCCTCTGCCTGCTACCAAGTTCCAAAGCTGCTTCCACATTTTTGGGTATCTTTTCAGCAATGTCCCACTCTACCGCTACCAACTTACAGTATTAGTCCATTTTTATGCTGCTGATAAAGACATATCTGAGACAGAAGAAAAAGAGGTTTAATTGGACTTACAGTTCCACATGGCTGGGGAGACTTCAGAATGGTGGTGGGAAGTAAAAGGCACTTTCTTACATGGTGGTGGCAAAAGAAAATGAGGAAGATGCAAAAGCAGAAACCCCTGATAAAGCCAACAAATCTCATATGACTTATTCACTACCATGAGAATAGTATGGGGGAAAACCACCCCCATGATTCAAATTATCTTCCACTGGGTCCCTCTCACAACATATGGGAATTATGGGAATACAATTCAAGATGAGATTTGGGTGCAGACACAGAGACAAACCATACCAAATAGAAGATGGATTAAATATGGCATACCCACAAAAGGCATCCTATAAAAAGTGTGTAAAATATTTCTATGTGTTCATGTTGATGAAGCTGCAAGATTTTTGTGATAAAAACAAAAACTGTACATTAAATTATGTTACACTTTTATAAGAAATAAGGAAAACAATGTATGTATATATGTATGTAGTAGTTCCTACTGGAAGCACTAAAATCATTCTAAAAAGTAACTAATAATAAATACCAAATATCACCTAATAGTTTTATTTTTTGTGGAATAAGTATTATAGGGTTTTTGTTTTTGTTTTTGTTTTTGTTTTGAGATGGAGTCTTGCTCTGTCGCCCAGGCTGGAGTGCAGTGGCGCGATCTCGGCTCACTGCAAGCTCCGCCTCCCACGTTCACACCATTCTCCTGCCTCAGCCTCCCAAGTAGCTGGGACTACAGGAGCCTGCCACCACACCTGGCTAAATTTTTGTATTTGTAGTAGAGACGGGGTTTCACCATGTTAGCCAGGATGGTGTAGATCTCCTGACCTCATGATCTGCCCGCCTCAGCCTCCCAAAATGCCGGGATTACAGGTGTGAGCCACCGTGCTCGGCCAAGTATTATAGTTTTAAGACTATTTTATGCATATTATAGGGTAAATCAAAAAATAGTTGTATTACCATCACTGTTACTATAAAAGAAAAGAGATAAGAATATAAATCATAAAAGTTGAGAGAAAAGCTAAAGCTAATTTTGATTTTTGAAATAGCAATGTGAATGCATAATTTAATATCTAGTTTTGTCCTCAGAAAAGTCCTAAAAGCAATGGCATGCCAGTGACAGAAATCATGCTTAATCTCCAGGTGTTTATTTCTAAACATTATTTGAGACTAAAATGAATCAAGCTTCCTTTGAGGAATGGCTGATTCTAGACTAGGTCCAGAGCAGAGAAAATAACAGGGATATTTTGTATTTTTAGAAATGTCACAGACACATAGAATTTTTTTGGAAAGGCACATAAATATTAAAAAGCTAACACAAAGAATGTCAACAAGATGCAGGAGCCAACTTAGTAATTCCATTCTCCATATTTGTCAGCATTTGAACATTGAAAAGAATAATGATTACAATGGATTGTAACACACTGAATAGATACATATCCATGGGTTTTTAGAGATATTAAGAAAGCAGGGAAAACACACTAAATTACAAACATTGAAAGTGACTCTTACATGGACTCCTTACTCTAAAAATTGGTAATAGAGTAGCAAATTAAATACTTATGCTGTATTTTTAGGTGAAATTGTTATTCACCTATTGTCACTCAGGAAGTGCCCTTCATTAAAGAAAAACTTTGGCTAATAAATGTAAAATGAATATCTTTCCATCTCCAATAAAGATAATTAATTGAGCAAAAGATTATCAGTGGATGCTAGACTCAAAAAGTAAAATGTTGGGAAATGCAGTTTTCACATAAAGTCTAAATACCACCATATGAATTATAATTTCAAATATAATTTATAATTTCAAATATTTCAACTTTTGAAATATACACATATTGATACAGATATCTGTATAAATATATATATTTTAAACCTATATTTATATCTATTTAAATAAATATATTTTAAAATGGGGATATCTGGTTGCTATCACCTTAATTGAGTAATTAAAGTGAATACCACAAATAGTAGGACAACCAGAATTTATACGCCTTCTCATCTGATGCAACATGAAATATAAAAGCATCACTTATGTGGCTTTCTAATAAATAATATTCAACTTAAATCTAATAAATATATAGAATTTGCTGTGTATGAGATACTCAGAGGATACAGAACTGCTTGAATAACATCACAAAGAAACACTAATACAAATGCAGCATGTGAGGCATTCTACAAGCATCTAGTTTAATCTTCTCACCATGTTAATGAGGGGAAACAAAGAGGCAGAACATTTCAGGAAAAATATATAGCAACCAAAAGCAATTTGGTTTGAATCTTTGTTTGAACCACTGAGTTTCAAAGTATGAATGGCTCAGAGCCCTCACACATGAAAATTTGGGTCATTCCAACAGGTAAAAATCCACAGCTAGCATAGATGCTTGCTGCAGGAAAAAGGCCAGACTGGTAGAAGAAGGTGATTGGAAGCTAGGAACATATGACCAGTTACAGATCACATGTTAAAAATACATTTGTGTCTGTATGAACATATTAAGCAAATATCTTTGTTTTCTTTCCTCTCTTATTCCTTGTTATATAAGAGAAGGTATGTTGAAATTGTATCAATATGTCTCTCCCTGACTCTAGAAAACTCTAAATAAAACAATAACCAAGTATAGTTAAAGGAAACAAGTACAGAAAAATTAAAAAATCCATACCTGGTTGGAACCTAGGGAATCTGGGTTCATTTTGTTTCTAGCTCTAACTTGTTATATGCTTTTATATTATTAATGTCATTATTAATGTCATTCCTTTCACTGGAAAAATGAGAACTCTAAGGTCAGCCATATTTACTGACTCACTACATCTTGAAAGCCTGATCTCTTCATATAATAAACTGAGGGATAAGTATGTAGTTGTGAACAAAATAGATGTGTCCCTTACCCACAATAGATTTAAAGTATATTGGGAAAATAATCATATTAATTAAATAAGCACTCAAATATGTGAAATCCAATTCAAATTGAAATAAGAGATACGGAGTAGAATAACAGGATGAATAGAAACAATTTTAGGTAAGTGAATGACAATTGCTTTTCTGAATCATTAAATTTTCACTTGGGATAGAAGAATAAGAAGAAATCAACCAGACAAAGAAAGGAAAGCAGACGCCAAGCAAAGTAAACAGCATGACAGCATGTAAATGGTCCTGAAAAACAAACCTGAAACTGAAAAAAGACCAAGATGTCTTGCTTTTTTTCAGTGAGAGAACAAGTAAAAAAAAGTTGTTGTTTTTTTAGAAGTTGGCAGGATAAGATCGTGCAGGAAACTGTAGGCCATGGTAAGCAGTTTGAATTTTATTCTGAAAAGGTAAGATCCATTGAAGGGTTTTAACATGTTCAAATTTACACACACACACACACACACACACAGATGGTTACACACACAGAAATCAGTTCTAAACCAATTTGATCATATGATGTATCGACACACATATGTGTGTGTGTGTGTCTGTGTGTGTATCCACACACACGCAATTGACTCTTCAGCCACATGAGGGTTAAGGGCGCTAACACCTGGCATACTAAAATATTTTTCTATAACTCAAAAGAAATTTTAAATGTTTATGGGTATGCATTAGGTGTATGTATTTATGGTGCACATGACATATTTTGATACAAGCTTCAATGTGTACTAACAACATCAGGGTAAATGTGGTATCTATCACCTCAAGCAGTCATCCTTTCTTTGTGTTACACACAATCCAATTATATCAGTTTAGTTATTTTTAAGTGTACAATAAACTATTATTGACTGTAGTCACCCTGTTGTGTTATCAAGTATTAGATCTTACTCATTCCTACTTGCCCCCCACCAAAACCCTTCACAGCCTCTGGTGAACATCGTTCTACTTTCTATATCCATGACTTCAATTGTTTTAAATTTTTAGCACCCACAAATAAATGAGAACATGCAAAGTTTGTCTTTGTGTTTGCAGCTTATTTTACTTAATATAATGATGTCCGGTTTCATCCATTTTGTTGCAAATGACAGGATCTGACTCACTTTTATGACTGAATAATACTCCATGGTGTATATTATCACATTTTTAAAATTAATTCATCTGATGATGGACACATAAGTTGCTTCCAAATCTTAGCTATTGTGAACAGTGCTGCAGTAAACATGAGAAGGCAGATATCACTTCCATATACTGATTTTCTTTCTTTTGGGTATATACCTAGCAGTGGAATTGTTGGATCATATGGTAGCTCTGTTTTTAGTTTTTTTTTTTTGTTGCTGTTTGTTTTGGCAACTGCCAAACTGTTCTCCATAGTGGTTTACTAATTTACATTATCACCAATAATGTAGGAGGGTTCCTTCTTATCCACATCCTCACCAGCATTCATTATTGCCTGGCTTTTGGGTTAAAAGCATTTTAACTGGACTGAGATGATAACTCATTGTAGTTTTGATTTGAATTTCTCTGATGATCAATGATGTTGAGTACCTTTTTCATATATGTGTTTGTCATCCATGTGCCTTCTTTTGTCCATTTTTTAAATTAAATTATTTTTAAAATTATTCATTTTTAAATTGAATTGATTTTTTCTATAGAGTTGTTGAAGCTTCTTATATATTCTGATTATTAATCTTCTGTCAGGTGGATAGTGAATTAGTCTGTTCTTGCATTGCAATAAAGAAATACATTAAACTGAGTAATTTTTAAGAAAAGAAGTTTAATTGGCTCACAGTTCTGAGGCTGTACAGGAAGCATGGCGGCATCTGCTTCTGGGAAGGCCTCAGGGAGCTTTTACTCATTGCAGAAGGCAAAGTGGGAGCAGGTAGTTCACATGGCAAAAGCAGAAGCAAGACAGAGAGAGTAGAGGTACCACACACTTTTAACAACTACATCTAGTGAGAACTCACTCACTATCACAGGAACAGCACCAAGAGAATGATTCTAAACCATTCATGAAAAATCCACTATTGTGCTACATTCACCTTCCACCAGTCACCACCTTCAACATGGGATTACAATTAAACCTGAGATTTGTATGGGGACACATACTTAAACGAGATCATTCTGCCCCTGGCCCCTCCCAAATCTCATGTCCTTCTTACATTTCAAAATACAATCATTCCTTCCCAATAGTCCCACAATGTCTTAACTCATTCCAGCATGAATTCAATAGTATAAAGTACAAAGGCTGATGATAGACAAAGCAAGTCTCTTTCACCTATGAGCCTGTAAAATCAAAAACAAGTTAGTTACTCCCAAGGTACAATGGGGATACAGCATTGGGTAATACTCCTGTTCCAAAAGGAAGAATCAGATCAGCCAAAAGAAAGGGGCTACAGGCCCCATGTGAGTCCAAAACCCAGCAGTGCAATCATTAAACCTTAAGCCTCCAAAATAATCTCCTTTCACTTCATGTCCCATATCCTATGCATACTGATGTGAGGAGTGGACTCCCAAAGCCCTGTGTAGCTCTGACCCAGGGCTTGGCAGAGTTCAGCCCCTGCAGCTGCCTTCATGGGCCGGCACTGGGTGCCTGCAGGTTTTCCAGGTGTAGGGGGCAAGCAGTCAGTGGATCTACCATTCTGGAGTCTGAAGGACAGTGACCCTTTTCTCACAGGTCCACTGGGCAGTGTTCCAGTGGGGATTCTGTGTGAGTGCTTCAACCTCACATTTCTCCTCTGCATGGCCCCAGTAAAGGTTCTTCATAAGTGCTTTGTCACTGCAGTAGGCTTCTGCCTGATGCCAAAGATTTTTTATTCATCCTCTGAAATCCAGGTGGAGGCTCCCAAGCCTTAACTCTTGCAGTCTGTCCTGGCAGGCTTAACACCATGTGGAAGCCAACAAGGATTATGGCTTGCAACCTCTGAAGCAGTGGACCAAGCTATTCCCAGACTCCTTTCAGCCACGGCTGGAGCTGGAGCAAGGAAAATGCATTGAGCAGTATACTGAGTCTACACAGGCCAATAGGGCCCTGGGCCTGTGTCATGAAACCATCTTTCCTTTTAGGCCTCTGGACCTGTATGTCTTTGAGGCCCTTTCCCAATTGTCTTGGCTATCAGCATTTGGCTTCTATGCAGTTATGTAAATCTCTCTAATAAGTGATTGTTCCACAGTCTGCTTGAAATCCCCTCTCAAAAAAGCTTTTTCTTTCTCTGCCATATGGCTAGTCTGCAAATTTTTCAATTCTTTATACTCTGCTTCCTTTTAAATATAAGTTTCAGTTTATTAGAGTTGGGGGGATTGGTGCGGGGGACGGAATTTTGCTCTGTTGCCCAGGCTGGAGTGCAGTGGCATGATCTCGGCTCACTGCAACCTGTGCCTCCCAAGTTCATGTGATTCTCCTGCCTCAGGCTCCCGAGTAGCTGTGACTACAGGTGCCCACCACCACACCAACTAATTTTGTTGTATTTTTGGTAGAGATGGGGTCTCACCAGGTTGACCAGGCTGGTCTCGAACTCCTGATCTTACACGATCCACCAACCTCAGCCTCCCAAAGTGCTGGGATTACAGGCATGAGCCACTGTGCCTGGCCAAGTTCCAGCCTGAAGTCATTCTTTTACTCCCATATCTGAGCATAGGCTGTTAAAAGCAGCTGTACTGCATCTTGCATGCTTTGCTGCTTAGAAATTTCTTCTGCCAAATACCCTATATCATCACTCTCAAGTTGAAACTTCCATAGATTCCTAGAGCATAAATATAATGCAGCCACTTTTTTTGCTAAGGCATAATATGCACGACATTTGCTCCAGTTTCCAACAAATTCCTCATTTTCGTCTGAGACCACATAAGCCTGGACTTCAGTGTCCATATAACTATTGACATTTTGGTCACAACACTTTAACCAGTCTCAAGAAGTTCCAAGCATTCCCTCATGTTTCTATCCTCTTCTGAGCACTCCACATTCATCCAAACTCTGCCTGTTACCCAATTCCAACGCTGCTTCCACATTTTCACGTGTCTTTATAGCAATGTCTCACTTCTCAGTACCAATTTTCTGCATTATCCGTTCTCACAGTGCTATAAATAAATATGTAAAGCCTGATAACTTGTTTAAAAAGAGGTTTAATTGACTCAGAATTCTGCAGGCTGTATAGGAAACATGGCAGCATCTGCTTCTGGGGAGCTCTCAGGGAGCTATGACTCATTGCAGAAGGCAAAACAGGAGCAGGCAAATATTTTCTAACAGTCTTTGAGTTGCGTCTTCACTTTGTTGATTGTTTCCTTTGTTGTGAAGAGGCTTTCTAACTTTATATAATCCCAGTTGTCCGTCTTTGCTTTAGATGCCTGTGCTGATGGTGTATTACTCAAAAAATCTTTGCCCAGTCCAATGTCCTGCAGAGTTTCCCCAAAGTTTTTTCTTAGTAGTTTCAGTTTTAGATCTTAGATTTTACCCTTTAATACATTTTGATTTGACTTTTCTCTATGGTAAAATATAGGGATCTAGTTTCATTCTTTTGCATATAGATATCTAATTTTCTCAGCACTATTTATTAAAGAGACTGTCCTTTCCCCAGTGCATGTTCTTAGCCCTTGTGATGGTTAGTATTGAGTGTCAACTTGTTTGGATTGAAGAATGCAAAGTATTGTTCCTGGGTGTGTCTGTGAGGGTGTTGCCAAAACAGACTAACATTTAAGTCGGGACTAAGAGAGGCAGATCCACCCTCAATCTAGGTAAGCCCATCTAATCCACTGCTAGCACAGCTAGAATAAAAGCAGTCAGAGGTATGTGGAAGGACTAGACTGGCTAAGTCTTCTGGACTCCATCTTTCCCCCATGCTGGATACTTCCTGCCCTTGAACGTTGCACTCCAGGTTCTTCAGCTTTGGACTCTTGGACCTACACCAGTGGTTTTCCAGGGGTTCTTGGGCCTTCAGCCACAGACTGAAGGTTGCACTCTTGGCTTCCCCACTTTTGAGGTTTGGGGAATTGAACTGGATTACTTCCTCAATTTGCAGATGGCCTATTGTGGGACCTCACCTTGTGATTGTGTGAATCAATACTCTTTAATAAACTCCCTTTGGTATATACATCTATCATAATAGGCCCATCCCTCTAGAGAACCCTGACTAATGCAGCACCTTTATTAAAAATGAGTTAATTGCAGATTTATGGATTTGTTTCTGGCGTCTGTATTCTGTTCCATTGGTCTATGTATTTGTTTTTATGATAATGCCATGCTGTTTATCTTACTATAGCTCTGTAATATAATGTGAAGTCAAGTAATATGATTCCTTCAGTTTTGTTCTTTTTGTTCAAGATAGCTTTGGCTATTCTGGGTCTTTTGTGGTTCCCTACAGATTTTAGAATTTTAGGATCCAGGATGATCCATGTAATGAGGAGAAAAAATGTGTATTCTGCAGCCACTGGATGAAATATTCTGTAATTATCTATTTGGTTGATTTGATCTTTGAGATCTATGAGGCAGATTAGATCCATTGTTTCTTTGTTGACTTCATATCTTGATAATGTGTCCAATGCTGAAAGTGAGGTATTGAAGTCTCCAGATAGTATTGAAATGTGGCTTTTCTTGCTCTTTATCTCTAGTAATGTTTGCTTCATACATCTGGGTTCTCCATTGTTGAGTGCATATACAGTTACAATTGTTGTGTCTTCTTACTGAATTGATTCCTTCATTATTATATCATGACCTTCTTGGTCTCTTTTTACAGTTTTTATCTTAAAGTCTATTTGTTTAAAAAGAGGTTTGACTCAGAATTCTGCAGGCTATGTATATATATAGCTATTCCTGCTCTTTTTTGGTTTCCAGTTGCATGGAATATCTTTTTCCCATCATTTATTTTCAGACTATTTGTGTATTTATAGGTGAAATGTGTTTCTTGTGGGTGACAGACTGTTGGGTCCTGTTTTTTTAATCCATCCAGCCAGCCACTCTATGTCTTTTAATTGGAGAGTTTAGTCCCTTCATATTCAATATTATTATTTATAAGTAAAGACTTCCTCCTGCTATTCTGTTTGTTTCTGGTTGTTTTGTCATCTTCTCTTTTTACATTTCTTCCTTCCATTTTTTTTTTTTTTTTTTTGTGAAGCTGATTTTCTCTGATGTTATATTTTAATTTCTTGCTTTTTATTTGTGGGATAACTTTTGTAGGATTTTTGATTTGAGGTTATCGTGAGACTTGCAAATAACATATTATAACCCATTACTTTAAATTGATGAAAACACTGCTCCCATAGACAAACAAAAAAGCAAAGGTAATATTAATAAAAACTACACTTTAACTTCACTCTCCATTTTTAAATTTTTTTGTTATTTCTATTTAAATCTTAATATACTGTCCATGTCTTCAAAAGTTGTTGTAGTATGATTATTATTATTTGTTTTTGAGTTGGAGTTTCACTCTTGTTGCCCAGGCTGGAGTGCAGTGGTGTGATCTAGGCTCACTGCAACCTTCACCTCCTGGGTTTGAGCAATTCTCCTGCCTCAGCCTCCCCAGTAGCTGGGATTACAGGTGCCCGCCACCACGCCTGGCTAGTTTTTTGTATTTTTAGTAGAGACAGGGTTTCACCATATTGGCAAGGCTGATCTTTAACTCCTGACCTCAGGTGATCCACCCATCTTGGCGTCCCAAAGTGCTGGGATTACAGACGTGAGCCACCATGCCTGGCAGTAGTTATTATTTTTGATAGTAAAACTTTTCAGTCTTTCTACTCAAGATATGATTAGTGTATACACTGCAATGAGAGTTGTATTATACTCTGTGTGTTTCTGCATACTTACTATTAACAGTGAGTTTTGTATCTTCAGATGACTTCTTGTTGCTTATTAATTTTCTGTTCTTTCAGATTGAAGAACTCGCTGTAGCATTTCTTGTAGGACAGGTCTGGTGTTTATGAAATCCTTAAGCTTTTGTTTTTTGGAGAAAGTTTTTATTCATCCTTCAAGTTTAAAAATATTTTTGCTGAATCTACTCTTCTAGGATAAACTTTTTTTTCCCTTAAATCCTTTAAATATGCCACTCTCTCCTGGCCTGTAATATTTGCACTAAGTCTGCTGCCAGAAGTATTGGTGTTCCTTTGTTTTTGTTTTTTTTCTTATTGCTTTTAGAATATGTTTTTCATCTTTGAACTTTAGAAGTTTGATTATTAAATGTCTTAAGGTAGTCTTATGTGTATTAAATCTCCTTAGTGTTCTATACCCTTGTTGTACTTGAAGATTGATATCTTCCTTTGGGTTTGGGAAGTTCTCTCTTATTATCCCTTTGAATAAGTTTTCTACCTTATACTCTCTCCCTACCATCTCTTTAAGGCCAATACCCTTAGATTTGTCTTTTTGAAGCTATTTGGTTTGGCCTTTTGAGGCTATTTTCTAGATCTTGTAGGCATGCTTCCTTTTTAAGTTATTTTTTCTTTTGTTTCCTCTGTGTATTTTCAAATAGGCTGTCTTCAGGTTCACTAATTCTTTCTTCTGTTTGTTCAATTCCACCAGTAAGAGACTCTGATGCATTTTTTAGTATATCAATTGCATTTTTCAGCTCCATAATTTCTGCTTAATTGTTTTTAATTATTTCAACTTCTTTGTTAAATTTATCTGATAGGATTCTGAATTCCTTCACCATATTATCTTGGATTTTGTTGAGCTTCCTCAAAACAGCTATTTGAATTCTCTGTTTTAAAGTTCATATATTCCTATCTCTCTGGGATTGGTCATTTGTGCCTTATTTAGTTCATTTGTTCATTTGGTGAGGTAGTTTTCCTTCATGGTCTTGATGCTCATGAATGTCCATCAAGTCTGGGCATTTAAAAATGAGATATTTATTGCAGTCTTCACAGTCTGGGCTTGTTTCTACTTGTCCTTCTTGGGAAAGCTTTCCAGATATTCAAAGGGACTTGGTTGTAATGATCTGTTTGTTATCTGCAGGCATATCTGCTTTAGGGAGCATTAATAATGCTGTGGTACTTGCAGACTCATAAGAGTGCCGCCTTGGTGGTTTTGGATAAGACCTGGGGGAATTTTCTGAATAACAAAGCAGACACTCTTGTTCTCTTCCTTTAACTTTCCCCCCAAACAAACAGAACCCTTTTTTCTGCTCTTAGCTGCCTGGAACTGGATGAAGGGTGACACAAGCAGCCCTGTGGCCCCCACCATTGGGACTGCTCTGGATGAAATCCCAAGCCAGAACAGGACTGAGTCTTTTCCAAGGCCCACAGTGATCACTGCCTGTGTACCAACTATGTTCATTCATTGCCCAAGGGCTCTAGAATTAGCCAGTAATGAATCCAATCAGACTTCTATCCTTCCCTTCTGGCTGGTGAGTTTTCGTAGGTCTTGGGCTCATCTGGAGATGCCACCCAAAAGCCAGAGCCTTGAGTCAGGAACCTTAAGAATCTACCAGGTGGTCTATTCTACTGAAGCTGCGTTGCCACACAAACTGCAATACCAAGTTCTTCCCCTCTTCCCTCCCCTTACCTTAAGCAGAAGAGTTTCTCCTCATGGGCACCAGTGCCCCATGCCCACATCCAGTACTGCCTGGCTATTGCTTATGTTCACTGAAAGCCCGAGGACTCTTCAGTCACCTTATGGTGAATACTGCCAGGACCAAGCCTCTTCCTACAGGGCAGTGGGCTTCCTTCTAGCCCAGAGAAGGTTCAGACATACCATCTAGGAGCCAAGGCCTAGAATCAAGGATACCAGTCTTCTTTGTGGTCTACCCCTCTGTGGTCAAGCTGGTACCTAAGCTAAAAGACAAAGTTTCCTCTACTCTTCTCTCTCCTTTCCTCAAGCAGAAGGAGTCTCTCCCCATAGCCATTCCAGCTGTGAATGTACTGGGTCTCACCTGAAACCAGCACAGTTCTGAGTCTCACTTAAGGCCACAGTGAGTACTGCCTGGCTACCACTGCTGATTATTCATGTCCCAATGTCTCTTTAGTCAGCAGGTAATAAATTCTGTCAGGACTGGGTCCTTCCGTTCAAGGCAGTGGTTTCCTACTGGCCCAGGGTGTGTTTAGAAATGTTTTCTGGGAGCTGGGGCCTGGAATGGGGCTTTGGGACTCTGCCTGCTGTCTTATTCTACAGTGTCTGAGCTGATATCCAAGGTGCAAGAAAAGTCCTCTTTACTCTTTTCTCTCCTCTCCTGAAGAAGAGAAAAGGAGTCCCTCCCAGAGCTGCAAACTGTGCTGCCTGCAGTTGAGGTAGGGGTGACACAAGCACTCTCTTGGTTGTCCCAGCTGGTGTCTCAATAGGCTGCATGCACTGCAAGTAAACTGGCTCTGAGCCCAGCACAGCACCAGGACTTGCCCAGGAATTGTAGTCTTGTGGCCTCAATTGACTTTCAAACTTATTTAGAACTCCAGAGCACTTTAGTCCATGCTGGCAGCACTTGCCAGAATTTATGTTCCAACTGCTGGGATGGGTAATTTGCCTCTAGCTAGGGCTGGCCAAAAAGCTCCCTCTGTAGACACCAGCTAAGTTCTACCCTATGCTGCTATAACAGGAATGCACTGAATTCCAACGAAAAGTCTCCAAATCGCTGTGCTTTCCCTACCCTAAGAACAGATTCTCTCTCTGTGCCAAGTGGCCATTGCCAGACTACAGGAGAAAGGTGGTGTTTGCAATTCAAGACTGTCTTTCCTACCCTCTTCAGTGTCTCCTTCCTTAATATGTTAAAACCAGGTACTGTTACCTGATTTTTTTGTTCTTATGTAGGTGCTTTTTCGTGTGGATAGTTGTTCAATTTGGTATTCCTTCAGGTGAGTGAGTGCTGGAGGCTTCTATTCCACTACCTTGCTCTGCTTCTTCCCCTGCCTGTAACTTTTGACTCACTAAAAACTACTAATAGCCTACTGATGATCAAAAGTCTTACCAACAACATAAACCATTGATTAAGCCATAACTTTATATCTTATATGTATTATAAACTGTATTTTTATAATTTAGTAAGCTAAAGAAAAACTGTTATTGAGAAAATCATAAGGGAGAGAAAATACATTTACTATTTATTATGTGGAAGTGGGTTATTATAAAGGTCTTCATCCTCATCATCTTCAAGTAGACTAGGCTGAGGAGGAGGAAGAAGAGGAGGTCTTGGTCTTGCTGTCACAAGCATGGCAAAGGGAGAAGAAAATAGGCATATAAGTTGACCCACTTAGTTTAAACCATGTTGTTAAAAGTTGAACTGTATACACATATACATATTTATATACATTTATATAAAATTTTGATTTCACTTGCTCTGTATAGAGAAAGAATAAAAGGATTGAAAAGAGACCAAGTTTTCCAGGTTGATTGGAAGATTATTGTAGAGGCCACCTGAGAAACGTTTCTGGCTTAGATGTGAGTCTCAGCATTAGGAAAGGGAAAACATGTAAAGACACATTTTCGAAGCTTAATTAAGAGGATAAGGGTAATTACTTATTGGATTGGAGGTGGAATAAGCTTCAAGAATGACTCCCAAGTTTTTGACCTGAGCAAGGGTTCCTCCTATTAAATGGGACAAAGATTGGAAAGGTAAGTTGTAGGCATGTTAAATTTAAAATGTCAGCAAATCTCTCCAACAACTGTAAATTAATGTTCTACATCATCTGTCTAGCTTTCCACCATCATCATCTTGCCTCCCCTACCTGTTTAACTTTTTAATCTTTATATGTGCTTTCAGATCACTCTTTAAATTATTCTTTGCAAACATCAAGCGTATCTATTCCTAATAATATTTTTACTCTGTTAAAACTATCTGGAATATTCTGACTACTGCACTTCTTCATCCATGTCTTCACATGAATATTCATTAGAATATATAAATATTCTTTGACTTAAAAGATGTATTCTTTCAGAACATATGCAAGTAGGGGATTCTACTCTATTCACACTTTCCAATAATCAACCATTGCATTTCATAATTTGAGATAAGTACTGCTTTCCCTACCATTGTGATCTTTGCTGCATGTATTCAACTTGACCGTTCAGTAGAAACTGGATCACTTCTCATGAACACTGTTTTAGTGGTGAGCCTTCATACTTCATAATTGGTTTCTGTTTGATGATCAGCATAGCTCAGAGGTGACACTAATTCATAGATAGTGAACTTCTAGCTGAGAGCAGCTTCTCTGTTGAAACATTTTGTACAGTAGTTTGCCAAGAGTTACACACATGAAGATGCTTTGTAAATGCTTTTGATGATGAAAGGATCTAAACTTTGTTTCAGGCAATGCCAAGCACGTATGCCATTTTCACAATAAACTTTGCATTAGAAATAAAGTTCAAGCAAAGGAATTTTCTTATTTGATAGTAATTTTTAAATGGTCATGCCTAAGTTCTTGGGAATAAGTTTCAGTTGATAACATTGTATATTTAACATAATTTTTAAAGCAATCCAGTGAATTAAATATTAGATATATATGATGGTTACAGTCCAAAAAGGGAGTTGGCACAATTTATTCTATATATAAAAAAGGGGAAAGTATAATTTTTTCTAATAAAATAATTACTCTGAATTGTATCCATAGTTTAATATCTGAATCATTAGCAGAGATTACTTGCAATTTATCTTTCAGATACCTTCTACTGATAAAAATCAACATCTGTTTATTGAGAAATGAATATCAGTAAATCTTGCTGTTATTATAGTAGTATCAGCTCAAGTTAATTCCCTCCTGAGATTGAAAAAATATGATTATGACAATGAAAAACATATGTTTTGGAAAGACAGTCTGCCATCAAACTACATCAACAATTTAAATGATTAAAATATTTATATAAACATCCTTTTCCATGTCGGTAATGGATGAAACACACTTGCTCTCCATTGTATTTTTTTAGCAGCTGTTAATGCCAAAAGAAAACTTATTTTTACAATGTTATAATTAAAATCATATATTATTTACCTCTTCTGTCACATATATTAAAGGAAACTCAATTATTTTGAGAGTTAAGCTTATGTAGGATATTTTTAATGAACAAGTAGAACAGACTATATGCCAATGTTCATATACCTGTATAATTGTCTATTTCGACTGAAGAGTATAAAAAAAGTCTTAATTTTCCTCCGACTGGAATAAAGAAATAAAGTTCAGAGTAATTTTCTTCTGGAATGTGTATTTTAAAAATTAAAGTGTAATAGCTAATCAGGTTCTATCTGGCTACTCTACTCAATAATTATGCTCATACAGATTCCTCTGGAAGTACAAAAAAGTTGAAGTTTTTCTGTAATATTTTGGAAATTTCACATCTTAATCAATAGTTTCAGCGTGGTGTTTCCATTGGATTGCTCTTACACAATGAATTACTGATAGTTTAAATGTTACATATACATTCATTGTTCTCTGAAATAACACAAAAATCCACTGAAGATTAAAGTGGTAGCATTGGAAATTAGGTCTTTAGAAAGGAAGTTTGAACTATAAAAAGGAGTTTCTCAAAAGGTAGAAGAGGTAGGAGAGGTAAGATTTTTCTATTTTTAGGCAATTTCTTCCTAGAAAGTGACAAAGTTTCTTTTTTAAATTACACACTCTGCAACCATAGTTCATTTCTTTGTCATAAGAAGCAAAAGAAGCAGTATGCTTTCTCTAAACACCAACAAGAAACATCATGTAGCAAGAAAAAAGTCTGTATCTATTAAACATTTTTAAAGTCATTGGTAATCATTATTCTCTGCATTTTGCAGTTGTGTCTTTCCAACAATTCTCAATCTCTGGCAAATTAAATATTTCTCAATGACTTTAAGACTTAATTAAAAACTGAACCTTCCTATTTACAGTCTCTACACTTTAAAGCGTCTACATTCCCAAGATTAAAACCGTTGAAAAAAAATTATAAGTTAAGGCAAGATCAGTGCTGAAGCATGACATTTACATTGTACGAAATGGATTTAATCACAGGAACAAGCATAGTAAACTAAACATAGTAAAAATGGATTTAATCACGGGAATAAGCATAGCAAACTAAACACAGTAAAATATTAAACCTCTTTAATATTAACAAAGGTTAATATTAAAACCAAAGCTAACAAAAATGCAGTAGCTTATGATATTGGGTAACCAAAGAAGATATTTCATTTGTTCTGCATACTTACTTTCTCAATTAAAATGAAGTAAAGTTGATCTCCATTATAATCCATCAATGGCAGGGAAGCTGGGTATTGATTAGTAGATTAATATTTCCCATTGCATTAAGAATACTCTGAATTTAGTATGGTTTACAACATTAAACTGAAGTTAAATATTGGTTAGAAAACCATATGCTAGCTGGAAACAGTGGCTCAAGCCTGTAGTCCCACGTACTTGGAAGGCTAAGGCAAGAGGGTTGGAAGCTGCAGTGAGCTATGATCACAGCACTGCACTGCAGCCTGGGCAACAGAGTGAGACCCTGTCTCAAAACAACAACAAAAGAAGTCACACACAAAAAAATCATATGCTATGGGTCTTGCTGCAGCTAAAACTTGCAAAACCAGATTTCTAGAAATTCAGAAAATGTAAGTCCATAATTCTCTAAAGAAATAGTGGTTTATAGTGGGAAAACACTTATATTGTCATATACTATCTGCATAACATTGGCTAAATTATTAAATTTCATTCAGCCCTTTTTTTCTCATTCACAAAATGTGAATAACAATACAGATATATTAGTTTTGTTTTGGTACTAAATGTCATAACATTTTGAATGTCCCTACAATTCTTTATGTCAAAATTAACATTTTATAAACAATAGGCGTTTTCATCCATCAAGTTAAATCTTGAGTAAATCTCACAAAATTTCATAGGCCCACTGATTCATCTGAAGAATAACTTTTAGGGCAAGTCAATATATATGGACTGAATATCTACTATTAATCTGTATACATGGTATAGAGGTGATTTAGAAAATCATTAAAATGTGGTTCATATCCTTAAGCGATTTACAGAATATAGCAAACTTTGTTATCACCTTCCCAGAGTTCATTCCACTTGAGAAAGATTAAAAACAATCTTATTCCCCACACCCTACTAGATACAAAATGTTGAGATGCCATTCATTGAAATGCTCCTCTTTTGTGACAACACTCAATCCAGAAACAACCTCCACTTCCTTGAACTCCTACCAAATTCACAAAACACAAGCCCATATTCCATAACATTTTCCTTCCAATACTCTTTTACTGTGTTCTTAATGGTGAACAATCTTCCTTATTTCAGTAAATTTGATCACATGTGTATTCTTGGTGGTTTTTGGTTGGCGGGCATCAAAACACCTTTTAGCCACTTGTACAGTAGCTGTAGAGATGGATGAAATTTTTTCATGCACACATAAATAATTGAAACTTTGTCTGGGATAGGTCAAACACTGATAAATTTAAATTGAATGGGAGGGACACATAATTCAGCTCTCAGCCAATCATCATATGGCATTTCTGTAGTTGCAGTGGCTTGTTCAAAAATTGATGTATGACATGAACCAGTCTAATTAGAATGAAGAACAATATGTTGATGTGACCACCATGAAAACTTGATTCCTCTCACCTTCTGGGTATTGATCTTTGTGTATATGACCCTTGAATTGCAACAATTATTCTTCTGCCATGTGAAAAGCCAGACTGAGTAAAAAGAAAACAAAAACAAAAAAAACAGAAAACAAACAAAATCTTACTACAAAACCTGCTGAAAGAAATCATAGATGATACAAACAAATGGAAAAAAAATCCCATGTTTATGTATTGGAATAATCAATATTGCTAAAATATCCATATTTCCAAAAGCAATCTACAGAAGGAATAACAAAGAGAATCATAGAGAGATGGGGAGGGAAACTCGGTCAAACTACACTTGATATTTTCCCTACCACTAGAAGTTGGAGATATATAAGCCAATAAATCATTTTCATTTTTAACCCAGTTTTGACTGCTTTTTATTATTTATAATTAAGACTATTCTAATGGGTATATATGCTTTGTAATCTACAGAGCATTCACAGTCGATGATAGAAATGGAATCTATTGGATTTTGCCATTGCCTTACAGGGATGGGAATGAGTGGACTGTAATGGATTCTACTCCTTCTTCAAAGTTTTGATCCTGAGTGACTAAGAAGTTTATGGTCCTTTTATTTAAATTAGAATACATCAACTTGCTATAGTAATATAGAAACAGAAAGAGCAAAAAGTGGATAACAAAGTTAAGAGATCATGAAATACTAATGGTAAATATTTAGCTCCTAAGTATAAGAAATACTATGAACATTCTTTTAAATGCAGAGTTTTTGAACCTATAAACAGAGAAACTGTTCTAGTATTTTGTGGATAAGTACCATGGATCAATATTTCTTTAAAAGAAAAAATAGAAGCAAAGAATGTAAAAAATCATACTAACATAAATTAAAATCTATCAGAATAATGAAAACATCAGTGAATTAAATATATATCATTTACTTAGTCATTATTATTTTCAGGACTGGGTTAAAGCCTTATAGCATATATAATTTATGTTACTACATCAACTCTAATGTAATTAAGTGTATCCTCACTTTTCAGCGGTCATAAAATTACCACCTTTTCCATATCCTAATTTGTCATATGAAAATAATTACATGTATAATGACTCATATTAGCACATTTATGCATAATGATATCCAAATAAATGTCTTTAAAATGAGCTATTTCTTCAGATTAAGTACCATATTAAGGTTGGAAAATTAAAGGAATAAAAAATTTCCATCAGAATCAAGTTTTTTACCTACAATGTTTATGACCAGATCTTATGGTGGAACAGGAGTTTCTCCAACTTCACTGTGTCTGATAAAGAAAACGGATATACATCAAAAACATGCTTGGTTGATTCCCTTGAACATTTCTGTGCTCCCCTTCAATTTTTACCTGACAGCTCTGAGCTTTGGAAGAAAACCCCTGCTGATATTTCTGTTCTAACAGATATAGCCCCCTGACAGGGCTACAATGAGCTATGATGGCACCTCCTGTCCCAGTTGTAAGAAGACTGCTTTCATCCTTCAAGAGTGAAGGAGGGTAGAAAGAAGGTTGATACATGTGGCCAAAGCAGTTGCCAGCTGTTCCTCTTTTCTGCCTCCTGGTATTTAGTGTACCTGGGCTGGAAGCCCAGTCCTAATGTTGGCCTAGTAACATTTTGTGATGCCAACACTTTCTGCATGAATCTCTCCCTAGGCCTGCACAGACACTGTGAGGAATAGTCTGAATGGTCTGTGGGGTACTCGACTGCTTTACTTGGAGATGTTTTGAATTCAAACCATACACAAAGCTGTGTCCCTAAGCAGGTGTGAAACTACAAATGAGACTTCAGTTTACTCCAGTTGGAATCTGCTATAGTTTTTCAATTCATCACTACATTGGTCAAGTCAAATGTTTCTGTAAGCCTCCGGTTTTCAAAGATAATTGTATATTTTTGTTGTTTTACCTACAAATACCTCATCTCATTTTGTTGGATATAATATATACTTATTAATTCTTATCCAGCAAGCATATTTAAAATTTTTGTTTAACTCTGGAAGACTAGCTATGAATGGTTTACTATGCTGGGCTCATGGTAGACCCTAAATAAGTGTTGGCTATTATTATTTTTATTGTTACAAAAGAATGCAAGTGGTAAAGGAGTGTAGACTCAACTCAAAGCAGGCAGGTCATGTTTTCAGATTCTGGTTTTTTAGAGATGGCCCTATTTGATTGTCCCAATCATTATATCTCTATCCAGATATGAGTGTACATAGAAGATAAGTGTATGTAGTCTGCAATCTAACTCTTAGGCTGATGCTTAGAATATAAAAGCTCTGTAGTTTGAATGTGTCTTGCAATTTGTGGTGGAGTTGTAGTTTTACTTTTTAAATTTTTAGTTACGATGGTATTTATAGAAAATATATTTCATTTTCTGACATATTTTCACTTCTGGTGAACATAGAAACACACTGCTCACTTCTTGTCAGCTTCCCAAATTCTGTAACCTTTATCTTGAAGATAGATGCCTGTATTACAGTACGTTCTTTGGGTTCTTGGATTCTACTCCTTCTTCACATTTTTGAAGTCCTCCAGGGCTTGCATGTGTTACAGGGCAGATTCTTGGGCACTTAACTTGAATCAAGCCTTTCTTAGCTATCTTATCGATATCTTTCAGTCAACCAACTTTTTATCAAATTCTGTCTAATAACCCTACAAATACATACTGAAATTGCAGTGAAAGAACAAAATCTTTTAAATTTTGTTTTGTTTTGTTTGTGCCTGAGAAATCAGAAATACTAAGAGATAATGCAAAAAATAGAAGGTAGAGACTGCATAGACTTTGTAGTCATTTCCACAACGTGGAGAGGAGAACCAAGAGTGAATTTGTGGCATTAAAGAAAACACCATGAAAATAGTGGAAGAAACAAAATAGTGACAAAAACGATAAAAAGTTTTCTTTCCTACCTTTTCTCTTAAATATTCTTCTTAAATATTATTCTGTATTTTTATGTTAGCACTGTCCTTTGAATACCAGTTTTAGATACTCTTATACAGATTCGCAACTATCTGTGGTTTATTGAAATAAGTGATTGATTTTCATTAATACCCTTCCATGAGCTTATTCAGGGGCCCAAGATCCTTTCGCCTCATAGCTTCATTGCCTTCCAGATCCTTGAAGCGCCATCCATTCAGCCAAAACATGGTGAAAAAATTTGACATTGGCAATGGGAGGATTTTAAAGACAATCCTGGTAGTGGTATACTGTATATGACTTCCACTGACAATTCATTAGTCAGAATTCAGCACAGAGTCATACCTGATGACAAGGGACACTAGAACCTGTAGCCTAGTGGTATATGCATCCAAGAGTAGCAATCAGATGTGGGTGATCATTAGCAATCTGCCAAAAATCAATTTACAAGATGACTTTTTCTGGCTGTTCTACTTTTATTCTGTCTGTCTCTGAAATAGTCAGGGGTTGGGTAATAATCCAGTAACTAAGTCATAGAAGCATATTTAAGAATAGATTTCTTTCCACTCTCAGTTATTAGAGTGGTAAAAAGCAAAGGAATTACTTGGCATTTTCAGTGGAAGTGGTTGTGTATTAGGGTTCTCTAGAGGGACAGAACTAATAGGATAAATATATATATATAAAATGGAGTTTATTAAGGAGTATTGACTTACACACTCACAAGGTGAGGTCCCACAATAGGCTGTCTGCAAGCTGAGGAGCAAGGAAACCAGTCCACTTCCCGAAGCCTCTAAAGTAGGGAAGCTGACAGTGCAGCCTTCACTCTATGGTCAAATGTCCAAGAGTCCAAAAGCTGAAGAACTTGGAGTCCAATGTTCCAGGGCAGGAAGTATCCATCCAGCACAGGAGAAAGATGTAGGCCAGAAGACTAAGCCAGTCTAGTCTTTCCACTTCCTTCTGCCTGCTTTTATTCTGGCCACACTGGCAGCTGAGTAAATTGTGCCCCCCAAGATTGAGGGCGGGTCTGCCTCTCCCAGTTCACTGACTCAAATGTTAATCTCCTTTGGCAACACCCTCACAGACACACCCAGCAACAATACTTTGCATCCTTCAATGCAATCAAGTTGACACTCAATATTAACCATCACAGGTTGTGTGTGTACATATGTGTGCATGTGTGACTTTGTATATTTGTGTACAATAAGATTTGATGATGGGAAGAAATTTTTGAGAATGATTACTGAAAATAATTTTCCTTCTTATTTTTAAATTATTTCTACAAATAGGAGAAGCCAAGATACATGTGATAAGGAGAGAAAAACACTAAAATTTACATGAAAAAGTAGAATATTAATGATCTCACCTACTTCTTATTTTACCTCAGCTCATTAATTTAATTTCTCTGACCTTTGGATTTCAACTCTGAAAAATGGGAACTGCAATAACTAATGTCACAAGTGTTCCTGATTTCCTAGTCTATTCATACCTCTTTTTTTTTTTTTTTACTTTTGCCAACTCAGATTCTGTCCTTTTTTTCCCCCTCTTACCCCAAAGCAAAGGAAATGTCATCAGTCATCAGTGTATATCTTATGATTTGGAATCAAAAGACTGGAGATAGAGCAAGCAAAACTAAGGGGAAGGATAAACAGAGAAGAAAACTTTCACTATAAAGATCTGGGAAACAAAGACAGAGACTCTAAAAGTAGGAGATTGGGTAACAAGAAAAACAGAAATAACATTTTTATTAAGAAATATTATGGTCTATGAAATAATTTATCTCCCAAGTTCTCATAGAGATAAAAGTAAAACTTGCAAAAACAGTTTTAAAATTACTTATTGTCTTCACTGTGATTCATTACATACGATTCTGTGCAACAGTTGACCAGGCAAGTTCTTAGATTTTTAAGTTGGTTTATGTCACTTGAAGGGTTGTCACACAGGAAATAAATGTAAAAATTATTTCCAAGTTGTAAAGATTATATACAAATGGGTATTACTGTTATTTTCAATAACCTAGTTATATGCAGCTTGAGATTTTTTTAAGTGAAATGGAATTCACTTTAGCAATGAAGTCCATGTTGCTCAGGAAATACTGGTTTGAAGGTTACAGTGAATATATTTTAAGCAAATATCAATAAAATCTATGTAGAAGAAATGCACACCTACACAAACACATACAAACCTACACCAGCCTAGACATCTTAATTTACATTTATCATAAGTGTGCTAACTTTGCATATTGATTATTTAGAATTATATTTAACATTCCTATAAGAATAGTCTTGATAAGGGTCAATTGCGACTTCCTTTTTAGAATTATTCATTACAGTAGAGATTTGAAAGAAATTATTTGCATAAATTTTAGAAGTGTCAGGATTGCAAAGTCTTAAATTCCTTAGCCAAGGCCCAGCCCAGCCTCAAGCAGTATCTTCTTATTTTACACAAGGCTTATAGCTTTCATTAATAAATCCTTGATTGTTGAAATACAACTTCAAATAGTATTTAATTACCTCATTGGTGAATAGCTCTTCCCTACATATCCAAATTTGGCATCTATACCCCAATGGGATTTCAACCATAATGAATTACATTTTAAAATATTTTAAAAACCGTTCAGATTCCCAGAGATTACCTCATTAAGGGGATGCTAAAGGAATATGTATAATCACTAAAATCTGTGAAAGAACTTTTGACCTTAAAAATGTACATTAATTTCCATGATTTTCAAAAATCATTTGCTGTGCAAAACTTGATACGTTCATCTTAACAAACATTTTTTTTCTTTATTCTCCTAAATTGTACTCACAATTTTTTTTTTTGTTTATTTGTTTGTTTTTCACCAGTAAATTTCTTCAGGTCACAAAATGATTTCACTGATTGCAGAGAATTGAAGTAGTGAATGACAACCGCAAGAAATGACTTTGTATAAATGAGTTCTCTATTTAAGAATTCTACCCAGTTGTAAAATACTACTATGTAATTTAATACAAGAAATACTAAAGGCATTGGAATTATAAATGCCTTTATAATTATAGAAATAGTTCTACAGGCACACTCCCCACTTTCTAATAGTTGTAGGTATTTTTAAATTTCATATTAGCTAAGAAAAATATTTACTGAAAACTAGGCTGAAACAGTTGGAAAAATAAAAATTTTACCTAAGATAGTGAAAGGGTTGGTAAAATTAAAATGGGGAACTTTAAAAAATTCTTAAATATATACCTCATTGGGGTTTGTGTAAATCACTATTCAGGAAGTGGCTACGTGTCAGCCTTGAGGATATAGCTAGTATCAGAAATACAGCAAGTTGTGGTTCTGTTTCCCTAGTCAACCAATGAAGAAGAAGTTGTGATGGTTAATACTGAATGTCAACTTGATTAGATGGAAGGATGCAGAGTATTGTTCCTGGGTGTGTCTGTAGGGGTGTTGCCAAAGGAGATTAAAATATGAGTCAGTGGACTGGGAGAGGCAGACCCACCCTCAATCTGAGTGGGCACCATCTAATCAGCTGCCAGTGCAGCCACAGTAAAAGCAGTCGGAAGAACGTAGCTCTCTACTACTACTACTACTAGTAGCTCTCTACTACTAAACTGGCTTAGCCTCCCAGAATACATCTTTCTCCTGTGCTGGATGCTTCCTGTCATCTAACACCAGACTCCAGATTCTTCAGTTTTGGGACTCAAACTGGCTTCCTTGCTCCTTAGCTTGCAGACTACCTATTGTGGGACCTTGTGATCGTGTGAGTTAATACTCCTTAACAAGCTCCCCTTTGTATATACATCTATCCTACTAGTTCTGTCCTTCTAGAGAATTCTGACTAATACAGAAGTGTAAGTTCCCATTCTTTGATCTTGCACCTATCTCACTCTCTTACAATATATTTTCATTTGTTTAGAGGCACATAACCCTTGGCTTCCTTTTCTACTATCCAGATTATTGAATTCATTCTAGATTTATTTTCTAGATTTATTTATTATCTCAAATGTATACTATTACATTAATTTTTAAAAATATTTCTTAAAGATTTGTTTTAAGACAAATAAAAATTGTATATGTTTATAATATACACTATGATGTTTTGGAATATATATGCATTGTGGAATGACTAAATCTACCTATTTATCATATGCATTACCTCATACACTTATATTTTATAGTGAGAACACATGAAATCTACTCTCTTAGTGATTTTCAAGAATACAGTTACACATGCAGTCCCAGCTTTGGGAGAGACTGAGATAGGGATATGATTTGAGCCCGGGAGTTCAAGGCTGTAGCATGCTATGATCATGCCTATGAATAGCCATTGCACTACCACCTGGGCAACACAGCAAGACCACATCTCAAAAAACTGCAGTCCATTGTTATTGACTATATGGTTCATTGTTATCACCATATTGCACAATAGATCACTTGAAAATATTCCTATGATTTGACTGAAATTGTGCATGTTTTGACCAGCATCTCCCCAGCCCTCTCTTCCCTACTATTCATGTTGATTGCAACATTATTCACAGAAACCAAGATATAGAGTCAATCAAAATGTCCATCAAAAAATGAAGGGCTAAAAAATATACAGTATAGGCTGGGTGCAGTGGCTCAAGCCTGTAATCCCAGCACTTTGGGAGGCCAAGGCAGGTGGATCACCTGAGGTCAGGAGTTCAAGACCAGCCTGACCAACATGGTGAAACCCCATCTCTACTAAAAAATACAAAAAATTAGCTGGGCATGGTGGGGGGCACCTGTAATCCCAGCTACTTGGGAGGCTGAGGCAGGAGAATTGCTTGAACCCAGGAGGCGGAAGTTCCAGTGAGCCAAGATTGAGCCACTGCACTCCAGCCTGGGCGACAACAGTGAAACTTCGTCTGTCTCTCTCTCTCTCTCTCTCTCTCTCTCTCTCTCTCTCTCTCTCTCTCTCTCTCTATATATATATATATATATATATATATATATATATATATACACACACACACACACATTCACATATACAGCATATATATACCACATATACTATATATATACACACCATATATATACTATATATATACACACCATATATATACTATATATATACACACACCATATATACACACCATATATATATACCATATATGGTATATATATGGTAATATATATGATATATATGGTTATATATGGTATATATATGGGGTGTGTGTGTATATATATATATATGGAATATATACACAATGTAATAATTATAAGCCTTAAAAAAGAAGGTAATCCTGTCATTTGCAACAACATGGATGAACCTGAAGGATATTATGTTAAATGAAAGAAGCCAGAAACAGAAAGGCAAATACCACATAATTTAGCTTATAGGTGGAATCCAAAAAAGTTGAGCTCATAGAGGCAGACTGTAATGGTGATTTCCAGGAGCTGGGTGGGAGGAAGTTTTGGAGATGTTGGCCAAATGTATATTTTAAATACGTTCTCATCAACTCCCTCAAATTTATTAGCACTGAAGATTTTAACAAATCACTTTAAAAATATTTTAACCCTAAAAATACTATCATCATACATTTGAACCATTTTTATAACCAGACAGTGTTAAAGAAAAACTGATTTCAAGACAAAGTAATTAAGTAATTCCAGCATCAATTAGGCCTTTAGAACTCTGCACTAACCTTTTCTTGAGTCAGTGGGCAGCTTTCATTCCAATCCAAGTAGCAGCTGTTGAAATATTGTACCCTCCATAGGTCCTCATCTTATCTCACCTTCTGAATATGGTGAGATGATGGTCTTTCTGATGATGGGCTGAAATCATAAGGTTGGAGGCTTTAACATGAAATTGAGGAGCAGGGGGAGGGGTCATACCTCACACAATATATTAATCCTTACTTTCCAATTAAAATGCCATCTCCATCTTCAATCATCCTCATCTTTTGCCTTTCTTTTATTGAAGAAAGAAGCATTCAATTTTTATTTGTGCATTTTCTCTGGACTACATTTCTGCCTTCTCCATGATCTTACTTCACAAAATATCTTAAATCTCTGCTAATACGTTGGCTCCTTTAACATAGCCTGGAAACATATTCAAGTCTTCGTTCTTAAAAAAATAAAAATAATAAAATAAGACCAAAAGAAGCAAAGGTTAAAAAAAACTTTGTGCTCTTTACTTAGAAATTTATTGGAACAGTTTATTGACTTAGTTTTTACAGATATCACATAACAAACTAATTAATTTGTCATACTTTGTATCTTCCATCACTTGGTAATTAATGAAGCATTTGACACAATGTTATACCTTTTTCCAAAAATTAGAAAAGGTTATTGGTTACCAAACATATTTTCACATAATAATAACAACACATGTTCACTGAAGAAATGATAACATAGCAAAAATTTATTGTAATAAAAATCATCTCAAAAGCACAACGAGAGATAACAACTGTTAGAATTCTGATAACTTTTTAATAATTTTCTTTCCAGGAATATATTTTACTGTTGTAGTTAAAATGTGTTGTTTATACAAATTTTATTATAATTTATTTTTACTACATTTCCCTGCATTACAAAATTATTCATAAAACATACCTTTTAATGACTGCATGGTTTCCCATCATTTGTATGTATCTCAAGGTGGGATTAAATAGTTCCTTGATAATGAAAATAAAGCCATTAGCATTCTTTCATCATCATAAATTGTGCTGTGATAACCATTTCTATGTATCATTTTTGTCCCTATTTCTTATTAAACAATCAAAATATATGAGTATATTTAAGTCTCACACATCTAAATTGCTGTCTATAAAGATCTAGCAATATGTACTCTAAGAAAATATCTCATCAGACTAACTAGAAAATGAATATATTCATTTTAAAAATCTTCGCTAATCTGGCAGGCAAAATGATGTCTTGTTATTAAAGGAAATGTTAGACTTAATTACTTATGAAATAGAAAGTTACATATTTATAAACCAGTTATGATTATTTTACTGTGACTGATATACTCACATGAATTTTTTGCTTTTTCTTTGTGATGTTTGTATTTTTCTTATTGATTCACAAGCTAGTTGTGTTTGTGCATATATATGTGGATATATACACATATTCATATATATGTGCAGATATACATATATATCATGTTTTAAAATATTTTCTGATTTTTCAGCTGTTCAAATATTCTATTCTATTTTTGATAAATTTTGATATATAGAAAATTAAATTTTCTTTTTATTGCTCCAATCACTCTACATTTATAACTTTAATTTTTTCTTTAACTTTGTTGTCAAAAATTGTATACATTTATTATGTATGCTTTTTGATATACAGAAATTTAAAAATTATCTTTTTTATCTTCTTCTATCACCTAATTTTAAAAGCCTTCTCTCAAGAAATTTGAAAATGCTTGTTACTTTTCCTTCTGATTTCATATGTCTTTTTTTATATTATCCATTAAATGTTACCATTTTTTGCGTATGGAGAAAATACTTAAGATCTATTCGCTCAGCAAATTTCAAGTGTACAATACAGTATTATTACCCACAGTCTCCATCATGTACTTTAGATCTCTAAAACTCATTCATTCCATATAACTGAAACTTTGTCCTCTTGATCAACATCTCTCATTTTTCTCCCATCCCCTGTCCCCAGTAACTACCATTCTACACTCTGCTTCTATGAATACAACTTTTTTAGATTCAATATACAGGTGTGATCATGCAGTATTTTTCTTTCTGTGGCTCACTTATTTCACTTAGCGTAATGTCCTCTGGGTTCAACTATGTTGTCACAAATGGCAGGATTTCCTTCTTTTTGAGTCTGAAAAGTCGTCCGTTGTATATATACATCACATTATTTAATACATTTTTCTGTCAGTGAACACTAAAGTCATTTCCTATTGTGAATAATGCTGCAATGTACATGACTGCAGCTATCTCTTCCAGATACTGATTTTATTTTCATTTAATATATACCCAGAAGAGGGATTGCTGGATCATATGGTAGCTCTATTTTAAATTATTGAGGAAACACTTACTGTTTTCCATAACAACTGCAGCAATTTACTGCCACCAACAGTGTGCAAGGGTTCCCTTTTCTCCATATCCTCATCAATACATATTATCTTTTATCTTTTTTATGATAGACATCCTAATGAGTAAAAACTTACATCTTCTTTTGGTTTTGAGTTTCATTTCCCTGATGATTAGTGACGTTGAGCATTTTTACATATCCCTATTGGCCATCTGTATATCTTCTTTGGAGAAATGTGTATTCAAGTCATTTGCCCATGTTTTTATTTATGTATTTATTTTGCTACTGTATGCATTTCTTATATATTTTGAATATTAACCCTTTGTCATATACATGGTTTACAAATATTTTCTCCCATTCTGTAGGTTGCCTTTTCTATTTATTGATTATTTATTTTGTTGTAACAGAGCTCTTTAGTTTAATGTAGTCCCACTTGTTTATTTTTGCATTTGTTGCCTGTGCTTTTGGTGTCATATCCATGATATCATTTCCAAGACCAATGTCAAAATGTTTGTTGTCTAATATTTTTTCTAGAAGTTTTATGGTTTTAGGCCTTACTTTAACTCTTTAATACATTTTCAGTTAACTTTTCTGTGTTGTATAAGATAAGGGTCAAATTTCATTTTTTGCATGTGGATATCCAGTTTTCCCAGGATTCTTTATTATTTAAGAGACTATTATTTCATATATATATACACATTCATATATATTCATATATATATATACACATATATATATATGAAATTTGACTGTATATACATGGGTTTATTTCTGTGCTATATATTCTGTCCCATTCATCTATGTATCTGTTTTTATGACAGTATTCTACCCTTTTGATTACTATAGATTTGTGATATAATTTGAAAACAGGAAACATGATGACCCCAACTTTCATTTCTTTCTCAAGATTGCTTTGACTATTTGGAGTCTTCTGTGGTTCCATAAGAATTTTAGGATTGCTTTTTTCTTTTTCTGTAACAAACTTCCATTGGAATTATGATAAAAATTGCCTTGGTTCTCTAGATGATAATTTAAAGACTTTCGAAAGGAAGTATTGTTAAAGGAATAGAGATGAAGCTGTTTTCAAGTGATGTGCTTATTGCACATTGCTTGACTATACCAAAATATCTCATGTGCCCCATAAATATATACACATACCATGTACATACAATAATTAAAATTAAAAAATTAAAAATAGCTAAAATTAGATATTTGAGTGAAACTCCAAATTACGTGTCTTAAGAAAATATAGTGTGTGTGTGTGCATGTGTGTTGTGTGTGTGTGTGCTGTGTGTGTGTGTGTGTGTGTAGTGAGGGAAGAGGAGAATACAAACTGATTAATGTTTTTTAGATCCAGGAAATGGTTAGTGCATTAATCAGACATGTATAAAAGAAGACATGCTTTCTGTTTGCTTGGTAGATTTTTCTCCATTCTTTTGCTTTTTGCCTATGTGTATTCTTGCCTGTGGTAGGCATCTCTTGAGTACAGCATATAATTGACTCTTGCTTCTTCATCCAATCCAACTCACTTCTCTGTGCCTTTTAATTGGACATTTAGTCTGTTTACATTCAAAGTTAGTATGATATTTGTAGATTTGTTCCTATTATCGTGTTGTTAGCTGGTTATTATGCAGACTTGTTTGTGTGATTACTTTATAGTGTAACTGGTCTATGTTAGCTGGTTATTATGCAGAATTGTTTGTGTGATTACTTTATAGTGTAACTGGTCTACGTACTTAAGTGTGTTTTTGTGGTGGCCAGTAAATCTCTCCTCTTCATCTCTCCATGTTTAGCACTCCCTTCAGGACTACATATATATATATGTGTGTGTGTGTGTGTGTGTGTGTGTATATATATATATATATATACATCCTTTAAGTTTTGGGTTACATGGGCAGAATGTGCAGGTTTGTTACATAGGTATACACGTGCCATGGTGGTTTGCTGCACCCATCAACCTGTCATCTACATTAGATATTTCTCCTAATGCTATCCCTCCCCTATCCCCCAACTCCCCAACAGGCCCTGGTGTGTGATGTTTCCCTCCCTGTGTCCATGTGTTCTTATTGTTCGACTCCCACTTATGAGTGAGAACATAAGGTGTTGATTTTTCTGTTTTTGTTTTAGTTTGTTGAAAATGATGGTTTCCAGCTTCATCCATGTCCCTGCAAAGGACATGAACTCACATCCTTTTTTATGGATGCATAGTATTCCATGGTGTATATGTGCCACATTTTCTTTACCCAGTCTATCATTGATGGGCATTTGGGTTGGTTCCAAGTCTTTGCTATTGTGAACAGTGCTGCAATAAACATACGTGTGCATGTGTCTTTACAGTAGATGATTTTTAAACCTTTAGGTATATACCCAGTAATGGGATTGCTGGGTCAAATGGTATTTCTGGTTCTAGATCCTTGAGGAATCGCCACACTGTCTTCCACAATGGTTAAACTAATTTACACTCCCACCAACAGTGTAAAAGTGTTCCTATTTCTCCACATCCTCTCCAGCATCTGTTGTTTCTTGAATTTTTGATGATTGCCATTCTAACTGACATGAGATGGTATTTCATTGTGGTTCTAATTTGTATTTCTCTAATGACCTCTAAGACAGCTCTGGTGGTAAGGAAATCCCCTAGCATTTGCTTGTCTGAAAAGGATCATATTTCTCCTTCCCTTATGAAGCTTAGTTTGGAGTTGGAGTTGCTGGCCTCTGTGTGTGCTTTAACAACAGGAGCAGTTGCTGCTTGTTTGTGGAGCCAGGGCTGCCAGTGTTCCTGTGCATGTTTGGTCTAGCAATGGACCCACACGCAGGCTGTGGAGGGGTAGGGTGTGCTCACACTGGCTGCAGTGTCATGGTGGGGTGTGTGCACACATGAATGCCAGTTGAGGAGGGAAAGCAAGGCCCATCCCCATGCATGCTAGCAAAGCGGTGTTAGGGAGTGGCCATGGGTGATTTTGTGCCAGCAAGGTGTTGTGGAGGAGACTGCAGCAAGGGGAGGGTGCAGGTGGGCTGGTGCACATCATCTGGGTCTGCTCTCCTGGAGCTCTTTGATGGTCAGGCACAGTCTGCTAGAGAAGAAACTATGATGAAAGTTCCTGAGAAGCATCCTGGTTGGGCATCTGAGGCTGCACTGCAAGCAGATGCAGCAGGCTAGCACCCCCGGAGAAGCCAGGAGACAGGGGGGTGCTCAGACTGAACTGGTCACTTCTCATGGGCAAAACCACCCTGCTCTGTCCAGGTCCAAGAGTACCCCTGTGGATAAAGTCTCCTAGAGGAGCTCGGTGAGCACTGGAGGATAGGCATCCCTGGCCATGCTCCACTGCAGATATTCCCACACAAAACTGTCTGGGCTCTGCACAGGCTGGAGTCCTGCCTCTACTACCTCTCTAAGCAGCTTTTCTTGCCAGCTCCAGTGTCCTTGGGGGTTGTAGAATCTCTTGCTCCAAGGATTTCAGAGGTCCATGGCAAGAGTTGGTTGCTCCTCACCTGTTTGACTCACCCCTTCCCCAAGAGGCATTGGGGTCAGGAATAAATCTCGTGCACAGCAGTCCTGTGCAGAGTACACAGCAGTCCTGTGCAGAGTACATAGCTTCCTCCCTCTTCAGCTCTGCTTCTGTGTCCTCCCTTCGTCCACTCTCAATGCCTTCCCTCAAAAGATCTGCTCAGAGAGTACCAGTCTCCCCAACGCCCCAGCTTTTTGGTTCAGATGTTCCTCCTGGCTGCGTCTAGTCAAACATCTTGAATCAGGTTCCTCAGTTTGTTTGTTTGGTATCTACTTCCTTGGCAAGTTTCTTATTCATTTCCTAAATTAATTTTAGGATTTCTTTGTATTAGTTTTCAGGTTTCTCTTGGATTTCATTGAGCTTCTTTAAAATCAATATTTTGAATGCTTTATCTGGCATTTAGAAAATTTCATTTGGGTTAGGATCAATTGCTAGAGAATTATTATGCAACAATAGAAATGTTTAATTATTAGTAGTATTCAATATATTCTTATAGAAATGATAAACCTATTGCTTAAAATGGTTAAGCCCCTAACTGTATTTATTCATGCATCAGATAATGTATTTAAAAATCTTCAATAAAAAGTTTACAGTAGCTAAACTACTTTTGTCATTTTTGGACAAAGAGAAAAAGAAGATGAACAAACTTTTAAGAAAAAGTTATTTCTAGTATGTTGCCTCAGTTGAGTCAATCAACATGTTTAATTAATAGGGGCAATGATAGCGGCATTTTTAATGTCAGCACCTTAGCATTAAGATGATAAACTTATCCTGCTCGCTTATATACTATCTTTATACCTACCACAATCAGGACAGGAATAATTAAGCAATGAGTCTAGAATTTTTTCCAAGTAATTTCAATAATATTGTGGGGCTTATTGAGTAAAGGCCTGGTGTTTATAAAAGCAAAAGTAAGGAGAGAATAGAGAATAATATAATCCCTCATACTACGAGTAAAGCAATTGTTGAGATTAATTATTCAAATAATCTGTCTATATTGATACAAATACTGGGTTATATGTACAGTTCTTTACCTGTTACAGTACCAGTACAAGTAACCCTACGTTTAAATCCCAATTTATTTAAACATGCCTTATAATCATATTTAATTTTGAAAATAGTCACTCTCTATGTTTTGATTTCAGATGTACAAAATCATTCTCTGTCTAATAATATTTGTTCAAGAAACCTGCAGGCTGTCTGGAATATTTATCAAGGCCATTCATTTATGGTTAAATAAGACAAGCCTCTTTTGGAATAGACATATGTTTTCTGAGAAAGTTAACACGCCTTCATTACTATTCATTGATAACAACAAAAATAATTAAATGTTATTCATATGCCTACTATGGACAAAATACTGGGGCAGAAAGTGTATGTTATTCTAAAACAGAATATCATTTATTTGGGGAAAAAGTGAAATTACACAATGTCCTATGGGGGAAAGGAAAGAATTCTAAGGATTGACTGATTATGAAACAAGACAATCTCAAGTTAGTCCAAATTGAAACACTGGTGTTGCAGTAGAAACTACTCTTAAATTTTGTCCTAAAAGTTGCATGCCCTGTCTAGCATTTGAAAATGGAGAGGTTTAGTTTGCTTGTTTGTTTTAACACTACATATGTTAGTTTCTAAAAATAGGTCTTCAAATAGATACATGTTGAGATGTAACTAAGGTTATACAAAGAGAGACAGTGCAGCCTGTCCTGAACAAGTCAACACTTTATGCCCAGAGAAGGATCTTTTTCATCCAGGGAATGACTTGAGAGCCCCATGGATCCAACTCAGGGGTTATGATGAGATTAAACCATAAAGGAACATGAAGAGAAGTTAAAATCATAGTTAATTTTATTCACCAATAAGATGTGGGGCAAGTCTTGCAGAATTAGTTTTCTAAAGAATTAACACCTACTTAGCATTTAATTTAGTAGGGAGACAAAAAGCATTAATTTGCATTTTGACATTTACTCTAATCCACTGAACTGCAATAAGGTTAACTTGTGTGAAAGTTACAGCCAAAGAATCCTGAAACTTTCATGCTGAATCAGCAAAGCAGGTGAACTTTGTTTCTTTATCTTCTTTTTTTTTTTTTTTTTGAGACAGAGTCTCTCTCTGTCGCCCAGGCTGGAGTGCAGTGGCACGATCTTGGCTCACTGCAACCTCCACCCCCCAGGTTCACGCCATTCTCCTGCCTCAGCCTCCCAAGTAGCTAGGACTATAGGCGCCCGCCACCACGCCAAGCTAATTTTTTGTATTTTTAGTAGAGATGGGGTTTCACCATATTGGCCGGGATAGTCTTGATCTCCTGACCTCATGATCCGCCCACCTCGACCTCCCAAAGTGCTGGGATTACAGGCGTGAGCCACCGCGCCCAGTGAACTTTGGTTCTTAACATCAAGCTGTTTGGAAGAAGAGAAAGGGGAAAGAAGAGACTTTGAAGAAGACTGTATATCTTATACTTAGCAGCCCCAGACTTTTAGAGATTAACTAGACCAAGCTTTATAAAATGATCTTACAGTTTTCATATTTGACATTTCTAATGATTTTATTTGTGTAAATAATTTTGCCTGAGCTTTTATCAATATTATATGAATAAAACATGTGCTTAGCGAAAAAGAATATTGTACTTTACAGATGCCTATTAGACAATTCAAAATTTGTGACTTGGTATCTATTATCATAAACTTATAAAAGCTGATTTCAGGATGTTAAATGACAGAATTCTAAGTTTGAACAGTTCTCCAACTCAACTCCAAGTCACACCCATTTATGTTGTACCTTAAAAAAATCAGACACCTTTGTTCCTTTGTTAAAAAGGAAGATGGAGTGGGGAGACAGGAGAGGAGGAAATAGACAGAATTTAGGACATTGTTGGCTAAGCAATATGGACATTTTACATTCTGGGATTGCGTCTGCCTGAGTGGCACAGCATAGACATACAGATTGTTAGAGTGGACAAGTGGAAACAACGACAGGGCAGCAGTCCTCAGAGATAAACACAGAAGACTAAAGGGGCAAAGGAGAGGAGAAAAGAACGGCCACTGATGTGATTTTCCAGTAGTTAGACAAAAAAATAGTAAATTCTAGAAGCCAACAAAGACAATCATCCTATGTTTTAAAAGTTATTCAACTGTGTTATTTAACAATGTAGTATAATGTATTCTAACATATAAGGACATATTTCTTTGGGCAGAAATTTGCATAGACTATTCCATTTTATCTTCTTAAAATTATCAACAAGTAATTTTAAAATTCTAATATACACTGCATATAAAGAAACTGCCATGCAAAGCAAATTAGGCAGACATTCTCTGGCCTCCATGATCTTAAATTTTAATGGGCAATAAATTAACAAAAAACTACAGGGTGAAAGTCAATGAATGCTTGTAAGAGTGTCCCTGCCTGTAGTCCCCACTGGCTGAAACCCAAACACAGGATTCAGGAAAGGCTGAAGAAATACAGTATACATCATTCTAGTTACTTATCTCTAAACAAAAAGCAATTGTAAGAATCTTAATCACCATATCTGGCTAGCCCAATAGCTGGGCAAAGAGTCCTTTGTTGTATATTAACATTAAGAATGCATTCCGACAATTGTAATATCTCCAATGGAAATAAGTCAGTATATTAAGCTTGAAACATTGTGATTCTGTTTTCTTTTGATATATATATTTTTTTCAAACAGATTTTTCTACAAGAGTCTCTGCACATCTGGCCTGTGATATAGTTCAGTTGGTTGAAGCTAAGGTCATCTGACATCCTTTGTTTTAATAAGATCTCAAGCTTCAAAAGAATACACTCATGAGATGAACATTCCTAAATCAAAATCTTAGATAATATTAGATAACCAGAGTGTGCTCAGGTGGAAAGAATGTCCCAAAAGGGAAAACGTGTGTTTAAGTTAATTGTCACTCTGTCCTAAAGCATTTTTCTTCGGTTGGGAAACAGCATTGGGGGCCTATAGAGATTTCTCTATGTTCGTTTCTCACTTACATTGGGCTGCCAACACTGGCTCAAGCTCTAAAGATTAACAATGTACACTCTACTTGACCCCCACCCAAAAGCGACAAGGAGAAACGAAAATGTCAGAACAGAATTTAACTATTGTGGGAAGGAAGCGTATTGCCCTTAATGAAAAGACACAGGCATTTTATTTGCTAGAAGGAAATTGCAGCGACTGAAAAGATATAAATGCAATTTGCTTAAACTACAGAAACAGTTAACTTAATTAGTTTGGAAACAGGAAATTTTGATGATTCTAATAAAATGTACTCTTTCCTGTTCTACAGTGAATAATTCAGTCTGCAATGATTTCCTTTATTACACATATCAGCTGCAATCCTCTTATGCAGCTGACCCTCATTAATTAATAATTGTATGTCATGGGTAAGATGAGTCTCTAAGTCAGCCTCTTTGTCAGGCAGATTTAAGATCCATTAAGGTATATTTAACCCTGAGTGGGGAAGAGAAATAATTAGTATCGATGAGCTAGACATCAAGCACCTTGAAGTACTCAGGGCTGCAGTTGTCTGGGGAAAGTAAGCTGGGCTACATTTGAGATGCACTGACATTCTTCCTTGTTGTAGGGGAAGAAAAGCTAACCTCTACATAATACAGGGGCATCAATATTTAATACCGATTTATGTTCAGTATTTTCACCGTGTCTTGCATGTAACTACATCAACTTTTTTAGGAAGATGCAGCACAGTACATAAAACTACATATTCAATTATGTATAACTTGGTTTCTTTTGTGTTGGTTGTTGCAAGCCCACTTGTTACTAAATGATATATTTTTGATTAGCTTTGTGTGCTTGGCACTCAGAAAGTTGACTTGGGCTGTCTCTAGAGTGCTGTTAGCCAAATGACCTGTTTCAGGTTATGTGCCTTTTTCTCCCTTAGGCAGGACAAATGACGTATATTTTATTCAAACACTAGTTTTCAAGGATATATATCAGTTTTATGTATCTGTCCCTAGCTCCTCCCCTTTACCATTGTTTTACCTGCTCTTCTCCTTTTCTATGGCTAATTTACTTGCCCATTTCCTGACTCACTCGCCCTTTCTTTTAGCTGGTGTTCCTACCAAGATGCTTCACAAGTCTCAAAGATCTCTTTGAACTCTCTCTTTAAAATTACAGCTAGATAGAAGGAATAAGTTCTAATGTTCTATACCACTGTGGGGTGACTATAGTTAACAATAATATATTATGTAGTTTTAACTAGCTAGAAGGAGGATATTGAAAATTCCCAACATACACACACACACACACACACACACACACACACACACACACACACAAATGTTTGAGATGATGGATATGCTAATTATTCCAATTTCATAGCTGTAACATATGTATTGAAACTTCACTATGTACTCCATGAGTATGTACAATTATTATTTGTCAATTAAAAACTTCAGTGAAACAATCTCTTCTTATAAAAGAACTTCAAGGACCAGAAATACTCTTTGACTAGTCATTTCTTTTTTTTTTTTGAGACGGAGTTTTGCTCTTGCTGCCCAGGCTGGAGTGCAATGGCGCAATCTCGGCTCACTGCAACCTCCACGTCCCAGATTCAAGCAATTCTCCTGCCTCAGCCTCCCGAGTAGCTGGGATTACAGGCATGCACCACCACGCCCAGTTAATTTTGTATTTTTAGTAGAGACAGGGTTTCTCCATGTTGGTCAGGCTGGTCTCGACCTCCCGACCTCAGGTGATCCGCCCACCTCGGCCTCCCAAAGTGCTGGGATTACAGGCATGAGCCACCATGCCTGGCGACTAGTCATTTCTATTACTACCTGTTCATACATGTAACCAATCTATAATCATATATTTGTATGCAGCATATATTATAAATAATTGAATAAGAAAATTTCTCTCTTAATCATAAAAGAGAATTTTAAATCAGTACTTGACACTATAAATGTTAATAAACTTACCATTGCCCTACCGTCATATCATCAAAATAAGGTTGTATGTAATATGTACAATTTTTGTGTTTGCCAGTGTTTTCAAGAAATCAGACCATACCAAAGATGTTGATCTACAAGGGGACTTAGAATATAGTCAGCATTCTTTGAGAACCAAAAAGAACTTTATATTGTTACTAAAATCAGATATAATTGAGCCAATATTACTTGCTTAGATTCACCCATTCGAAAGTATGTGTACTAGTCCATTCTCACATTGCTATAAAGAATACCTGAGACTGGGTAGTTTATAAAGGAAAGAGGTATAATTCACTCAATTCTGCATGGCTGGAGAGGCCTCAGGAAACTTACAATCATGGTGAAAGGCAAGGGGGAAGCAGGCAACTTCTTCACAAGGTGGCAGGAGAGAGAGAAGTGTGAGCGCAGGGGAAATTGCTCTTTATAAAACCATCAGACCTCATGAGACTTACTCACTATTCATGAGAAAAACATAGGGAAAACTGCTCCCGTGATCCAACTACCTCCTACCAGGACCCTCCCTATACACCTGGCGATTGCAATTCAGATTACAATTCAAGATGTGATTTGGGTGGGGACACAGAGCCAAACAATATCAATGTGCTATGGAGATTTAAGACAATCAAGTAGCAACTGATCTGTGACTAATGGAAAGTCAAAGGCAAATGAGGAAAAAGAATCAAGAAGTGTTTTAAACACTATTTATAGATTTGAGGGGCTTTTTCCCTAAAGCCAAGAGTGATTTTGTTCATAGTTTAGTGAGTTCATACTCTTTTTTACACAGCACATAGAAAGACTGAGAAAACTCATGATAGCAAATATTGGATAAATGAATAAATGAGCAGCCTATAGTAGATCATTGAAAGGAAAACTGTAAAGCTTCACAAGCCTCTGTATACTCCAACACCCCACTCCAACTAGGATGCAAGAAAGAATAAACAATTCTTGCTTTCTATATTCCCACCATTCGAGACATTCATCTATTTATAAATCAAAGCAGTACACTGCTGCTGAATGTCACTTTTCAAAATGTACACCTCAGTGGAAGGATCCTGGGGAAAAAATGTTTTGCTTTAAGCATCTCTTATAAGCAAATTAGTATGGATTTCTTCAAATTAAATGATTAATACCTTAAAAGCCCCCTTCCAATGGGAAGAGGGAGGGTTAATCTTTTCATATCAAGATAGCAATAGGAGTCACTGGCCTCTGAGTGATGCCTTAGAAAAGCATTAACTTGATAATGTGAATACTGAACATGGAAGCAGCTTTTGAATAATATACCAGGAGTTGGAATGAACATCCATTAGTTAAGATGTGTAGAAGGAACTTTCTTAATAACTTCATCATCATCACTTCATATTTCTATTTTCTCTAGCTTTTCTTTTTCTCTTTTCCTCTGGGTTATATTTTTATTGTTTTAATACCAGGATTCTTCTTCATAAATCTTATCAATAGATATACAACAGAAAACTGTAAAGAAGGAAATAAGAATTAAATTATAATCCTACTCAATAAAACATATTAACAAGGTAATCATGTAACTTCTTTCATTTTCACCAAATTTTTGGTAGGATAAATACGGAATTTCGGAAGAAATGAAGTAAATATCTTATAAAGTAAACTTTTGTATGAGGAAGAAGTAGGTAACTTAATTATGAAAAATTTAACTTACTAATTTCATTTAACAATAATGTATTTAAAAATACTACATTTATAATAAAAATGTGTGTTTATTAAATCATGTATTCAGAAACACTTATAAAGACTCTATACAATGCCAGAACTCACCTAGATATTGTGTCTAAAGAGACTAAACCAATAAGCGTCCTGCTCTCATGGCACTTAAATTCCATTGAGTTAAATAGAAAACAACAAGTAAAAATTGAATATATTCTTTCAGATGATGATAAATAATATAAAGAAAATAAGAGGAATCACGTGACAGTGTCTGCAATGGTGAAAATTTTTAGATAAGGAGGACATTTTAGGCGTTGCAATGTGGGAGCCAGTCTTGTAAAGATCTAGGGTTGCTATGTTCTACACAGAAGTGGTAGCAAGTGGCCTTGAGGCAGGAACCATGCAAAATATGTTCAAATAAAAGGGGCCTTTGTTCCGGAAGTGGGAGAATTAATGGAAAGATTACAAAAAAATGTCCACTTACAACCTAGAGGGCTTTGCACTTCCTAGTGCAGAGGTTGGTTCCATTCTAGGTTTAACGAAAAGTCCTTGGGAGATTTTTGCACGGTTTATATACAGTTTTTACATCATGAAGTTGTGTGACTCCTACTCTATTTTATTTACGCTAAAAAAGGCTTGTAATGAGACTTGTAAACTTAAAATAAAATTTAATATTCTGGTAGACATTTGTCAAAGGCTTGAACTATCTAGATTTATTATTTCTTCTTGAGTTTCTTGTTCTGTGTACTTTTGTTTTCTGAGTAGAAAGCAAGGGTGAGAAGTTTGGAGAAAGACATGTTCGTAGAGATAGAAAAGTTGGAATACAATTATTGGCATTGGGATAAAGATTTGGATTTGGATTTCTTCCCTGAGTTTTTCTTTTGGTTTCCAATGGGAAAAATGGAAGAGTGTGAGCTCATCTGTGTAAAAGCCAAGTTTGATTTGTTTTTCCTGTAAATCCCACATAACTATAATCAGGACTTATGTCATTCTTGCGTATATATTTTTCTGTCTCTGAACAGAGAGAAATAATGAATTTTAGGATAGACAGAATACAACTTTTAGCAGGAAAAAATAAACTGGTTAGCAGGAAATAGAGTTAGGAAGAGGAGAGGGCTTAAGAATGAAAAAGAAATTATTTCAAAAAGGTATACCATCTTATTTAGGATTTTGTGGGCCAGTAAGAATCAGTTTATTAATACATATATGGTGTAATAAAATAACCTGAATTTTAGGTAATGGTTGAAAAATATGTTTTAAATTTTTGTGTAAATATAATACTGTTTCATTTTTCCTTAAATACATAAATGTGGGTAAAGAATATGAGAAAAGGGGTGAAGAAAATAGCTCTGGCAATGGTGACAAGCTTAATACACTGAAGATAGATCACACTGACCTTATGACATTTGCAAAGGTCATTTCAGAATATAGATAAAATATTTAGAAGGCCCTGGGACTTATATAGCTAAATTATGGGAATTTTATTGTTAGATGGACAACTTAGTGTCTTAATTTTTAATCTTACATTTATAAAATTGTTTTGAAGATATATTTCCCACCATAACACTTTTTTTATTCTAGGGAGGAGTCCAAATACAGTAGGTAGATTACTGTACTAGAAATCATACAGTTTGGCCGTCCAGGTTCTGCTCCAAATGTTATGTAACTTTAGCATCATAGAATTGAGCTAAATAATCTATAATGTCTTTTCCACCTTGAATATATATGATGCATTGACTGCATAATCACAAACTGTACATAATTTGAAAGAGTAGTTTCTTAATACTCATTATTCTCATTATAAAGTTGTTTCATTTTGCAAATATATTAATAGAAACTTATTCTGAATATAGAAAGATGAAAATTCTCTCCTGAAATTTTACCTTAGCTCATACTTTGAACCCATACAGTTTACAAAACCGAAGCTACTAGCAAGAGCTGTACAAGATCGATTTGACGTGGACTTCTTAGAAATACAGTCCCTCAACCCCCAAAAAGCAGACCTGTGAAGTAATTTGAATTAATCTAGTCTTCAGAATTCAGAAACCATATGTATTTTATTGTAAAATGTGGGAGGTGATTCTGATGGTTAATCATGTTAATCTAAGGTTCTCATCAAATCATTATGATCATTAATACTTTTAAAAAGCACCCTGTTCTCTAAGGACATTGGGAAGTCTTGAAGCTCATAGTAAGGATTTTGTCTCCGAGAACATTGCTAATTATTACAGAGATGGAAAAGGGAGCTAAATACACTGAGTGTCTGAGGAACAGGCACGCTGTGTTGGGTGCTTCCAACCACGCTTTGAAGTCTATATAATCAGCTCTAATTTACATATAATAAAAAGAGTTGGGAAAGATCAACAATTTTCCAAAGTTTCAGAGTTAGAAAGGGTCAGAAATGGCATTCGAAATGAGCCTGTATAACTTGTTTTACTACCTAGCACTTTAAAATTTGTAAGGACTTTGGGGCTTTTGTAGTCCAGCCTTCCACCTGGTGCTGGTATGTCTTCTATGATGATCATGCAGGTTTATCAGCCAACCCTCCACTGCAATAAAATAAAATAAAGTCCTCCCCACCCTTGATATCTTCACATATCCACTTGTGAAGATCCATATAAACAAAGAATCTTCATAAATTGGAAAACATAGCATTGTACGTGATTCATTTCCATTATCAATGCATAATTTTAATGGAATTCTAAGAAAATAATCCTAACAATTTTTCACAGATCTTGTCTGTCAATTTCATGTTATGAAAGGAAACAATTAAGAAGATAACTAATAGAACTAAAAACTAAGAAAAATAACTACTAGATATAAAAGAATGTAAGGATTTTGTTAATAGAACACTAATGACATTTACGACAGTGTGGTTTTGGCAACCAATAAAATAAAATTAACAGCCCAAAACAATCTGATATGTAATGTAAATAACAACACAAAAGGTGACCTTACAAATCATGGAAGAATATGGATTAATACTGGGAAAATTTACTATCAACATAAATAAAAATAAATTACATCCCTACATCACATGATACACAAAAATGATTCACAGATGGATTAATGACTAAAGGAAAAACACCCACCAAACTTAAACAAGGCAAATATTTCTGTTACATTTGAGTAGGAAAGAATTTATTTAAAAACACAGAGAAAAAAGCAAAAGCCACAAAGGAAAAGAATAACAATTTTTTTCTGAAATGAAAACATTACATGAGGCTTGAAAAAACCATAAAAGACTGAAAAAAAAACTGACATAACATAGTAGAGCAAATTTGCATTCTACATAAATAATAAAAGTTTAACATCCAGAACATGGATGTGTTTATGTATTTATATAGCTAGTTAGCTACATAGATGATAGATAGATAGGTACATAGATAGATAGATAGATAGATAGATGATAGATAGATAGATAGATGTACACAGATACATAGACATGCATAGTTTTACTTATATATTGCTATTCAATAAACCAAACCAAAGCAAGATAAAGCAACAAAAATCACTCATTTTTCTCACTGACTTGTACTTTGGATAATACTTGGCAGAGATGACATTTCTGCTCAATGTTCCCTGAGCATCTTTCTGGTGTAATTTCGGGCCCTCTCCCTGTCACCTCACTGCATGCTGCTTTCAGCACAGTAGCTCAGAAATCCAAGAGGCATGTTCTAAGAGACTAAGATGGATATTGAAAACCTTTTATGACAAACTCTTAAAATTTACAAAACATCATTACTGGTTTCAGAAAAGTAGCCTTAATTTAATTACTCAATATAGAAAAAGAATACAAAAAAGTGTGCCTATTGAGAGATATGGATCATTTTAGGGGCCATTTGAATATCACACATGCACAGTCATAAACATATATATATAATACATACTAAGATATACATTATATGATTATATATCATATATCACTGTGTAATATATGATATATAATATATATTTTACACATAACAAATAAATTTTTAAAGTCAAAATTTGATTTTAAAAAGAAAGCAAAGAATATAAACAGATAACCTGGAAGAGGAAACTGAAAGTTCAATGAACACTGGAAAAGATGGCTAGCTCTCTGTACTAAAAGACGAGGATATCTAAAGTCTAATAACACTAAAAAAAATTCTAAATTATTAAGGTCACTTAAAAAAACAATTTAACAACACTTTGAAATGTAAAGATTCACATACCCTTTGCAAAGCAATTCCACTCCTATATTTTAGTAAAAAGAAAATATAATCACTTAATTGTAACTAAGTAGTAAAGTTGGCCAAAAAAGATCATTTTCTAAAATCATGTATTTGGCAATTAAAATGAACAAAAAATATATACATTATAACAACTTTGTATAATGTGAGAAAAACATAACACTGACTAAAACAAGTTTGTTGATAAAGCATTGGTAAAATGTTAATTCATTATTTAAACTTTTAAAGACGAAGAATGTTATATAGTTGAAGAATCAAAATAAATATAGAAAACAATTCAAAAACTGTGAAAATATTGCAAGCTAATTTAAACAATCTCTGTGGGGATTTTTTTATGGTAAAGAAAATGCCAATAGGAAGGATGGGTATGGATAGAAGGAAGGAAGGAGGGAAGGAAGGAAGGAAGGAAGGGAAGGAGGGAGGGAGAGAGGAGAAAAAACAAATCTAAATAATGCCTACGTATATCCAAAGAGCATTCTTAGTTATTCTTGCCTAGCCAATGAAAGTTGAAGAATCCTATTACCTCTCCCCCGGCTGCTCATTGTTTTTCAATTTGGAACTTTACTATTATTGCCACTGGCAGAGAAAATCTACTGTTATAAAACCAAAATGAAAACTAACTACAAATTCTGACCCTTTCTAAGACATGCTCCTTTCCCCTTGCTGCTGGTGGTAGCATAACACAGTGATACTACCTGGTGGAATCCTGAAGATAAAACCTCTATGGTTCAGGCTATGCCTCTCATTCTGATGCTGCCATCACTCCTGACACTGAAACCTTAACGGAGACCACAGTGGCTTTTTATGAGCAAGAAATGATATTTCTCTCAGTATACTTATTTATAAAATTAATTTCAGTATTACAACACAGACATTCCCAAAAGGCATATGCCTGGAATATCAGGAAGCTTAGGTCAGAAAAACTTTGGATCTCAGAGATACTGCAGTCTCAGAACTACAATTCCATTTGCACCCCAGTCCACAGTGGAAAAGTCCTCTCTCCTGCTCTCTTGGTGAATTCTATTTTATCAGTTCTGTGACCTTTTCTTGGCAACAGCCCTGATAGAGGCTGTTTCAGCCATCTGACTATTTTAATAACTTTGAAACTCTCACACCACAGGTCAGCATTTCCATCAATTTTCCCCAAAGAAGCTCTTGCTCCCCATATGTATCATATGTAGGTTAGCCCAAATTCTTCCTAATAATGTATCAGTCTTCATAATATTTTTATATATGCATTAGAGAAATGGAGAGATGGTTCCCAATGACCCTCATTCAGTCAAAGCCTTATGTTATGTAAACAGAAAGTATAATTAAGATCAAGTATATTTATGAAGTCAAATATAAACCAAATAAGAAAGACAACACTGTTCTTACAAACACAGGTTCTTAAAATTAGTGTTTTTGTTTAAGAGACAATAAGTATAGCTAAAATATCATTGCTTTATATGGAAAATTATTGGTTGAAGATACATGACTATTGGGTATGAAAATATAATTTAAAAATAGCTCAGCAAAACAACATAAGACACAGAAATATCAGATATTTAGAAGTACAAAAAAATCCAGGGTTAATTGAGGGTTGCTCATCACCATAAATATCAGAAAAACAAGAAAATATTATAAAAGTTTGTTTAAAAGACTCATTATAGACTCATGATCACAAAAAAATAAATATTTTAGGAAAATACAGTAGAAAAGGGAGTTAGGACATATGAAAAAGTAGTTAGGGGAATTAATATTCACAGTCAAGTTTCAAAGTTAGTAGTTTCAAAAATAGTTAAAAAAGCAATAAATTAATTATAATTTTCATATATTCCTTCTTTTTTACATTGTAATAATAATTTTTTAAAACTTGCAATATATGATTCTGGTTAATGAGAAAACTGAGGTGGGCTTTAAAAGATTTTTATATTTATTAATTAAGTAATAAAAAATAATTTTGCTGGATTATGTGAGCAGGCTCTCAGACCTGGGTTTTGTTAAATATACTTTTGACTATTTCAATTGAACACCCTTTTCTGAAATTAGGTTATTTTCAAGTTCACTCAGCAAATTTCTATCCAATTGATTTGCACACTTTAGGCTTTTAGCTCAGCCTATCTTGGTATTAGGTCTATGGGTGGGTCGGGGTATGAGGGCTGCCATAGTTTCCTGTGAGAGCCTTTGTTTTTACAGAAATGATAAGCCCTTTGCCACTCTGCCAGGTCTGGTTGAAATTAGCCTCTGGGATCAGAAGTTATTAGTGGGAAAGGATAGGGCAGACTGACATAGTGATTTTATAATTCTATTGTCCTAGGAAAGTAGGCTAATGAGGGTTGACTGGTGCAAATAAAAATGATCATGAAATGCTCCAGGCACCACACCTCTATAAATAGTGAAGAGAAACAGCCTATAAAACCTGTCCTGCTGCCACTGATGCTGGGCTGGTAAGGTGAACCCAGCCCAGTTGGAAAGGAGAATGAGATAATCTTCTCCCCCTGTTATTTGTCCTCTTAATCCCTTTGACACTGAGATGATCTTCAACACACTTTATTTTTTTTTGGAACAAAATAAATCACTTTCTCTTTCTGTTGTTCTCTTGGATAATTCAACATATTTATTTTCCTTATACATGACTGTAAAAACAACTTAGAACTGAAGTTGCCTGAGTAATTTCCATCTAGCAGAGGCTTTGTTAAGAAGGTGTCTAGTGAGTAAGATATCTTCTGACAACAAGTAATTTTAAGTTTAGATGAATAATGCCAATGTTTAGGAGGTGCAAAGACCGAATCAGATTCCCTCAGTTTGTAGCACAAAACTACACAGAGGTGCTTTTGTTCAAATACCCTGCATTCTTTGAATTTTATTAGCAAATTGCATACATACTCGCAGGATGCCCTATCAGGTTCTGGGAGTACAAACATGTAGAAGGCCAACAGGAGGAAAAAAAAGTTCAGACGAAATAAAAAGCTCACTTCCATAGCTTTATATATATTAGAGGGGACAAGACAAATCAATGAGAAATAATGGATTGGTTAATGGGTGGTGTCACCGAAACTAGTTAACTATTTAGAGAAATGTAAAAGTAGATTTCTATTCAATATCACATTCAACATTGGATTCTGATTTAATAATGCAGGCAAAATGATAAAGCTAATGTACAAAAATGTAGGAGTATGAAAGAACTTCAAAAGTAATCAGCAACAACTTGATGAATTTAATTATATCCAAGAAGTAAGCATTTCCAATTACTCTCTTTAGTAGGCAGGAGAGATTTTATGTAGGCTACTTCAGATATCTGATACATTTTACAAACTTAGGACCTGTAACACAAAAAGTCAGCGTCTCTCTCAATTCCTTCCATGAGACATGTTGTGGAAATATAAATTATCCCACTTCTTTCTAACAGTGTAGCCTTCATGTATTAATAGATATATTAGGGTAATGGGGAAAATAGCACTAGTGAATTTAAAAGATGATATACTGGAAGAAGATATGTGGAATGCCTAAAACCAACAAGGGACCTATGTCTAGAAAAAATGCAGCACAGTTGCAAATCAACAAGTTAAATTATAAAACATGAAATATGAAAGGCATACAAGCATATGAAGAAATGCTCAGGCTGGACACAGTGGCTCATGCCTATAATCCCAGAACTTTGGGAAGCCAAGGTAGGAGGATCACTTGAGGCAAGGAGTTTGAGACCAGACTGAGCAACTTAGTGAGATCCTGTTTCTACATATTTTTTTTTAATTGGCCGTGTGTAGTGCTGAGTGCCTATAGTCCTAGCTACTGGAGAGGCTGAGGTAGGATAATTGCTTGAGCCCAAGGGTTCGAGATTACAGTGAGCTATTATTGCACCACTGCACTCCAGCCTTGGAAACAGAGTTAGACCATCTCAAATAAAATAAAATAAAATAAATTAAGCATATGCTGAAATTTGTTAGAAATCAGATGAATGCAAATTAGGACAAGGACATATCAGTTTAAACCTTTTATGCTAGCTATAATTAGAAAGCTGGATGATGTCAAATGTTGAATGGAGACACAGGCTTAAGAATCCTCACAACCATAAACCATGGGATTATAAATTGGCATAGCCAAAGAGATGCATATGCTCTTAGGTAGCAATTCTGCTCCAGCTTCATGTCCCCCTAAAATTACTACACAGGTCTATAAGGGACATACATGAAGATGTTCATGACAGTGCTGTTCATGGTGGTACAAAAATAGAAACAATCTGAGTATCCATTTCTGGAGGAGTGGGTAGACAATATGTAGTAGATGCATGCCAGGCCACAGTGAAATGATAATGTCCCAGGTATACATACAACAAAATAGAGACCAAATAAAAATATGGTTTTGTGTAAAATTACAAAATAGTACATAATAATTAGAACAATATGTGACACAATACCACTCGTGTATGTTAATTATATAGTCAAACAAAAGAGTACACATTTTTCAAAATCACAAAGCAATAATAAATATACAGTATCTATATTGGAATGGTTGCCTATGAGGTGGGAAGGGAATGGCTATAGAGATTGGTAATAAAGGGAACAGAAAATTGTATCAATATGTTAAGTATTCAGGACAAAATCCTTGTCTAAGACAATGAAAATCATGCACAGTGTATGAGAAATATGATTAATTAAACCAGGTGCGTCCAGGTCCCATCTACTGACACAAAAAAGTATTGCCTCCATTTTCTTGACCCTTGTGTGGAATCTCTGACTTTCACAGGTTTTCATAGAGTTAGTAAAGAAGCAGTTTTCCATTTGGATAGATATGGAGAAAGATTTTGTAGTGCTGTTATCCATTTCCACTGTGAAGTGATTAGGCTCAATTTGGATTTCTAACTACTGTTCATTCCTCCATGAAGTTCATTTTCCTCAACTATTTACCTGAAATCTCCCCTCCTGAACCCCAATTTTGGCCTCAACAATTGTATAAAGAATTTTCCGTGGGCATAAAATCCTTTGTAATTAATGCAGGCAAATACTGAATCTATTAAAAAAAAAAGTCAGAGTGCCAGGACATGCTGGTAAGAGCAGTCACAATGCACTTCACAAGCACAATAGCCAACTGCTTACATTATAGCCAGCACTGCTACGTTTTCTTTATAGTGGATTTGGCATTAACAAATCATTAAGCAGGCACATGTGCTAACTCTTGTGGAGACTCAGCAATCATCTCTGGAAATCTGCCTCAGAATATAACTTTTTCACTTTAACCTTGGTTGAATTAGAAATCAGAAACCTCAAGTTTTTTCACCATTCAAATTCACTAGCCATGCAGTTTTGAAAGCTATTTAAGCGTTTCTGAGCATATTTGTTTTCTTTTAATATGCATTTTGTAATACTCTGATTGCCTAAATAATAGAATTTGAACATATGACCTTTTGGTCCTTGAATTGAGCTGATTGGAATGAAATGACTATACAGCACATATTCAATCCCTCTTTTATGGAGATGGATTAATACTTTTATGGACTAAAAAAAAAAAACACATCTTAATTGCTACAGAAAAAAAGTTTTGAAAAATCACCACATCCAAGTTTCTCAGTAGTTTAGAAATGAGGATATTGAGAATCAGTGAGGTTCAGTGTCTTGCCAAGATCTCACAGTCATATAGTGTTAGAGCTAGGACCAGGAGCTGAGTCTTTTTGACTCCAGATGAGTGATTTACTTCTAAGATCAACTCTATCGTTTTGTAATTGGTCAACTATGCTATCTGATCCTAGAAGCTAAAAAAATTTCTCCCCTACACATGAAAAACCCAACATTAGAGTAATTAATTAATGAAAGAAATACAGAGTATTGTTTATATAAAGAAATATTAAAGTGCATATTGTTATCATGGGCTTTTTTTGATAGACACTAGTGGAAATTAGTTTATCAGTTTAGCAAATAGCTATCTTAGGTCTTACAGACAATTGTCAAGCAGACTTCTATCTGTGAAGGGCAGCATGACATTAGCAGTGCTGGATGGGAACATTTGGAGGACTAGTAACTTCTTAGATGATGAATCGCCTGGTCGTGAGGGCTGGCAGAGAGGGAGAGAGAGAGAGAGACAGAGGGAGGAGAGAGACAGAGAGAAAAGAAAGAAGAAAGAAAGGAAGGAAACAAAGGAAAGGAAGGAAGGAAGGAAGGAAGGAAAGGAAGAGAAAGAAAGAACAGACATTGAGACAAGAGAATGCCAAGGAAAAAAAAGTTCTCCCAAATTTTCATTTCCACTAACAGCCAGGAATGTATTTGAGCTTTCCTTGCTCCAGGTTTCCTTGTATAAAGTCAGCTGAATAATTAACTTAAACAATACTCTTGTGCCATAAGAAATAATGTGCAATAAATTTTGACAACTATGAAGCAAAGCACTTTTGGAATTAAGAAGGCATATTTGTGGAAAATAGTTCCTGTTTAATGTAAATATCCCCAGAAGACTTGACTCTGAAAAAAAGATTCAAAAGATCAGTTTAGATTTTTAGCGTTGGATTGGTATCATTATGTTTAAATTCAGTTAGTCTATTTTGAATTAAATTTTAACATGATACAGATTTTTAACTTTCTATAGTATTTGTGATTTTTAAATCCTGCTTTCATTTGTGCATTGTTTATTTATAATTAGTAATTAATAAATTGTTAGGTAATCATGTTTTAATTTGGGTCAAAAATTACATGGAAAATAGTGTGCACAGCTACACTCTCTTCGTTCACAATGTCTGTGAAAATTCTAACATTTTCTCCAATGTACAAAAAATGATGTGGCAATATCTTTGCTTACTGTATGTGAATTGTTGGGATATAAGGCTGATATCCCAAATTCCAGAGTCAAGAAGGCATAGTCAACAGGAGAAAAGAAAATTTGTGCTACTTAATGTGTTTGCTTCAACTAACTGCAAGCTCCAGAAGATAAAATCGTTAAAATATACCCTGTAAAAAACCTATAATTCTAAACTTGAATAGAAACAGTCTTGTTAATCAGCCAAAGCACAAATTCACACAAAATGTTTTTAATTTTGTAATATTTTGCAATATTTTTTCTCCTTTGCAGTGTTATAAACAAAATGTTTACATTTATATTCTAATTTCTAAGACTTGAACTTATTAGGTTTCTCAAGCAAAGAAAATAATTTTTAGAGCTTATGATATTTTATAGATTTGTGATGTTATCTTAGCATAGATTTGAATTTTGAATTACATGGACATTATAAAAAGAGAGTGCAGCTGTTCATGGTTTTCTGTGTAATTTTTGACCCAAATTAAACATGATTACCAACAACTTATTAATTACTAAGTATAAATAAACAATGTAAAACTGAAAACAGGATTTAAAGAATCACAAATTTTATACAAAGTTAAAAATCTGTGCCATGCAAAAATGTAATTGTAAATAGCTTAATTGAATCTAAACATGATGAAACTAATCAGACACTAAAAAATCTAAACTTATCTTTTGAATCTTTTTTTTTTAGAGTTGTCTTCTGGGGATGTATATACTAAATTGGAACTATTTTTTAAAACCTGAAAAATATGTTAAAGCATAGCTCCGAGCCTTAGACAGGGCCACTGACAGACTGTGCGAATTAAAGAAAAAAGTATGCATTGCTCAGTTGGAATTATTCACCAAGATGCCTGTCTTTGCAAGCACAACATGGACTGGATTTTAATTGTCACTCATCCACTTGCTTGCACACTCTTGTGAAAGGAAAAACTAGTACACTCATAAGTGATAGCCCTGCTTTAAAATGTTTACTGTAATGAAACAGACAAAAGCTGTTAATTTGCTACCTTACCATTCTCAATCAGCCAAGAAAACTGTAATCATGCAATTCTTCTCCACGTGAATCTTTTGCTAGATTTCTTATTCAAAACAAGAGACAAAACATGGAGAGAATAATTGGGAAAAAAACATCCATCATAACCATGAGCTACCTCATCCATGAAAGTGTAAAATCCAGTGCATGTCTAAGAAAAAGAAAATATTTTCATGACACTCTCTTGATTCATTAAACTTCCTTCTCCTTACAGGGTTGGTACTGATATTATTGTGCACTTTACACATGTAGCCATCTTAGGAACCTCTCAGCTCTTTCTAAATTTATGTAAGGAAGGAATTTTTTGTTTGTCTGTTTCTCCAAAAACAAACAAGTAAATACAAAGCGAAACAAAAAACCCTCATAAACACATTTCTGAAAGCTAATTTAAAAAATACCAAGGAATAATATCTTTATGACCACATACATTAACCAAAAGGGACACTCAAATATATGACAACTTATCAATGTGTAACACCTTAGTTTCCAGTCTTTCTTCCTTCATCTCACTTTCAATAGATTAAAAATATAAGCTTGAAAATTCTGATGTATTTGCTACTGAATATTCTTACACCTTAGTAGCAGAGATCAGGTGACAACTAGTTTTGAACAATATACTGAGTAATTAAAACATGGATTGGCATTAAGAACAAAATTGGTCTGGAACTGTGATTCACACTTGTAATCCCAGTATTTTGGGGGAGCTGAGGTGGGAAGATTGTTTGAGCCCAATAATTCAAGACCAGTCTGGGCAACATAGGGAGACCCTGTCACTATAAAAAAATTTTTAAATGTTATCCATGTGTGGTGGCGCATGCCTGTGGTCCCATCTGCTTTGGAGGCTGGGGTGGGAGGATTACTTGAACCAGGGAAGTCGAGGCTGCAGTGAGACATTATATTCCCACTGCACTCCTGCCTGGATGACAGAGTAAGACCCTGTCTCAAAAAAAACCAAACCAAACCAAACAAAATTAATTCAGTCTTTTAAAAATGATTTCTTTTCCATTTTTAAAAGATACACCGTACAGTTTCATGCATGTTTTAAGCAATAGTGTAACTACACGTCTTTATTTATATTTCTCAGAAGATATTGCACTCAGTTACTCTTCCAGGACACAGTCAAATGTAGACAGCAATTTGCTCTTTTCTGTGTGCTATTTGGACTGGCTTCTGTCAAAGTAATAAAAAAAATGATATTTCTTTGCAGTATACAGCTAGGTACATTCAGCCAAAATTTGGCTTTTGTTCTGATACTCCATGAGCCCCATGAAATGATGGATTAGTAAATTACTCTCTTCCAGCAAGTGCTAAATGATCTATTGGCTCTCTTTTCTCTTGTCCTACAAGTATGTCTGCACAAATACAAGTACAAATTGAGACAGCCGTCCTGCCACATGCATAAACTTACATCATGCCAATCTGTATCAAATCATGCCATGTCCATCTTCTTAAATGTAACAATGATTTCTTTTTTTCTTTTAACTGAGTCTTCCTTCCAGTGATGCTCAACTCCAGCATTTTGTCCATACTGCAGCTAGGGTAATTGTGGAGATAGAACAAAGCAGATGATTTGAAGAGATACTTAGAAAGTAAAATATATAGAACCAGGAAATTGATTGAATATGAAGATGTCTATTTGGAATACTGCTCATTGAAAAGCATTTTAAAATTTTTCGAAGAATATATAAGTGACATAAATGTTAAACACACTAAGCCTAGACTCACTGTCCATTAGGAGCTCATGTATTTAAATAGGATAACCAGTTAAGGGAAATCTTGGGAGTAGATTTGATATGAACTGAAGAGAGGAGAGAAGGGAGAAAAGAAGCTGAAGATGATCCTAACTTTCCTGAATACGTATGTTGATAAAATAATGGATGGTGGTACTTCTGAGATAAAAAGGACTAGAAGAGGACAAGGTCCAGACTTGATCTAAATATGTAGCGTTAAATAATATTTTTAAAAGGTAAAAAAAATCACAACTCTCATACAGATATGAAATGAACAAATGCCAAAGAGTCTGTTTAACACATACTAATTAATGAGGGGACCAGTAAAATATTACAACTAGTACAAAGGAGCATCCCAAAGAGAGACATATATAGTGCATTTAGGAAGGTTGAAATGAAGTTGCTTAGAGGATGCAAAGCATCCACCTCCTAAGGGGAGAAAGGAAGTCAATTGTACTTGAGGCAAAATTCATTTGCTTGTCACTTCAGCAGAGTCTCAGGATACAAAATCAATGTGCAAAAATCACAAGCATTCTTGTACACCAATAACAGACAAACAGAGAGCCAAATCATGAGTGAACTCCCATTCACAATTGCTTCAAAGAGAATAAGATACCTAGGAATCCAACTTACAAGGGATGTGAAGGACCTCTTCAAGAACTACAAACCACTGCTCAATGAAATAAAAGAGGATACAAACAAATGGAAGAACATTCCATGCTCATGGGTAGGAAGAATCAATATCATGAAAATGGCCATATTGCCCAAGGTAATTTATAGATTCAACACCATCCCTATCAAGCTACCAAAGACTTTCTTCACAGAATTGGAAAAAACTACTTTAAAGTTCATATGGAACCAAAAAAGAGGCCGCATTGCCAAGTCAATCCTAAGACAAAAGAACAAAGCTGGAGGCATCTCACTACCTGACTTCGAACTATACTACAAGGCTGCAGTAACCAAAACAGCATGGTACTGGTACCAAAGCAGAGATATAGACCAATGGAACAGAACAGAGCCCTCAGAAATAATGCTGCATATCTACAACTATCTGATCTTTGACAAACCTGAGAAAAACAAGCAATGGGGAAAGGATTCCCTATTTAATAAATGGTGCTGGGAAAACTGGCTAGCCATATGTAGAAAGATGAAACTGGATCCCTTCTTTACACCTTATACAAAAATTAATTCAGGATGGATTAAAGACTTACATGTTAGACCTAAAACCATAAAAACCCTAGAAGAAAACCTAGGCAATACCATTCAGGACATAGGCATGGACAAGGACTTCATGTCTAAAACACCAAAAGCAATGGCAACAAAAGCCAAAATTGACAAATGGGATCTCATTAAAGAGCTTCTGCAACAGCAAAAGAAACCACCATCAGAGTGAACAGGCAACCTACAGAATGGGAGAAAATTTGTGCAACTTACTCATCTGACAAAGGGCTAATATCCAGAATCTACAATGAACTCAAACAAATTTACAAGAAAAAAATAACCCCATCAACAAGTGGGCAAAGGATATGAACAGACACTTCTCAAAAGAAGACATTTATGCAGCCAAAAAACACATGAAAAAATGCTCATCATCACTGGCCATCAGAGAAATGCAAATCAAAACCACAATGAGTTACCATCTCACACCAGTTAGAATGGAGATCATTAAAAAGTCAGGAAACAACAGGTGCTGGAGAGGATGTGGAGAAACAGGAACACTTTTACGCTGTTGGTGGGACTGTAGACTAGTTCAACCATTGTGGAAGTAGGTGTGGCGATTCCTCAGGGATCTAGAACTAGAAATACCATTTGACCCAGCCATCCCATTACTGGGTATATACCCAAGTAAATCATCTAGGTTTGAGGCCACTTCTATCATATACCTCTCCATACTAAGAAATGAGTCAAATTTGCTTAAAATAAAAAGCAAAATATAAAAAGAGAGGGCTTTTCTTTATTCTAATGTCAACCAATTGGTAAAACACTTATTCCTTATATTTTTATTTTTAAAAGAGGGACCACTTAAGTGACCTTTCTACTATGCAAAACAAAGAATAAATTATTCTTGATATAAAAAATGAACAAGAGTAAAATTATGCCATTCATTACATTCTTTTTTGTTTGTTTTTTGTTTTTTGGTTTTCTTTTTCTTTTTTTTTGCTTTGCTTTTCCAGGCCCAACAGAAGCCTGATTCAAATATCTTTCAAAAGATGAAACATGCATCTTTCTGAATAATTTACTCTGAAATGAAACAAAGTGAAAAAAGCATTGTTGTGAGAAATATTCATCAATTGGAATGCATTTCAGAAAAGGGAGACTCTGAAGGAAAAATTTGAAGGGGTGATTTGTAGTATTTGATTTGTGTTGGAAGTTGCTCACATTTAGATGATCTCAAATGCTGAACATAGCATATGTTTGTTTTTTCTTTATTTTAAATGCTATAACTTTTTTTCTACATTATGGCCTGAAGGGATTTTATCAAATACATTAACCTTTGAGATGCATGGTGTTATCTTCCTAACACACAGGTTTTCTTGGACTAGAAAGAGTGTTGAAAACTATTCAGAGGTGTCAATGTCACTTCCGTACACCTCACCCTCAGACATCCCGACAGCTGTCAAGCCATATCATTCTAAAGGAATCAAATTCAACATAGTACTGGCACCAAAAGTTAACAAGCACCTTGATGTTCTGTTCAAATGTTAAGTCCTAGAGAGCATTTCCAAAATGGTCAAGTGGCTTCGTCTTTACTTTCCCATTTCCAAAATAATGGTACTAATAATTGCAGCATGCCTGCTGCATAATGATAGTGATTAATAGCCTTACATATGGGCCATGGATTTAGTCATAAATGTATTGAACTGGATTTTATTCAATTCAGTTGGTATTCAGTTCTAAAGAATGATGAACGAATCTAATCCTGAAATGTATTTCTAAGAAGCCACCTGCTGTGGTTTGTCTGTTTGTGTCCCTCTAAAACTCATATGTTGGAACTTATCCCCAAGGTGATGGTCTTACACGTGGGGTCTTTGAGGTATAATTAGGTTATGAAAGCTCAGCCCTCATGGTGGGATTATTGCCCTTATAAAAGGATTTGAGGAACAGATTTTGACCCTCTTGCTCTTCAGTCACTTCTGCTGTGTGAGCACACATCATTTACCCCTCCGGAGGACAGAGCAACAAAGCACCATCTCGGAACCATGTCACACTTGTATGCACCACACACAGAATCCGTTGGTGCCTTGATCTTGGACTTTCCAGCATTCAGAACTGTGAGAAATACATTTCATTGTTTATAAATTACTCAGTCTATGGTGTTTTGTTATAGCACCAGAAACAGTCTGAGACACAGCGCATGAAAAGTTATTTTTAAAACAAGTGTTAACTAGTCTCGGTAACATTTATTTCCCAGCTTTGATTATCCAGAACACTTTTATCATGATTTGTATACTTGAATCTAGTAGCTGACATTCATAACTTCATTTCCAAAGTAGTACTATCAGAAAAGTTGTGACTTATCATATATTCTTCTTATTGCCAGCTTTCTCCATTCTCTTCCTTCTCATAGCCTTCAATACTCAATTTAACTCATATTTTATCATTTTAAATGAATCACCATTTATGCTGCATTGGGATGGACTCCGATTAAATAAATTACATATAAGTTAGGTGCACAGGCTTGACCTGATCACTTATCTTGAAGCAATTGAATGTTGATATGTGCCAGCTTTGTTGTTTCACTTTCCTCACTTTTTCTTTCACTTTAATATATTACAGATATATTACAGATATATATGTAATATATTACATATATATATATAAAAATCTGTAAGCCAGACTTAATCTCTAACAGGGTTGTCTTTTATTATTCTGTGGTTATACATTTCCATGTATTAATTTAAATTATACAGAAATCTGTAATTCAATGTACTTTATATAATTTACAATTTAATTCATATAGGTTGTCCTTTTTTATTCTGTGGGTACAAATTTCCATGCATTCGTTTAAATTCTCAATAATTTCTTGCCCACAACCTGACACGTGCCTCAGTGGACTTCCTAATGACTGTAACTGCACAATTATCCTGCCCAAATTGCAAGCTGTTTTTTGATGTGCACTTGCCCGTGTTTCTAAACTGATACTCTATTTTCAATTAGCTCATCCTACATTCCTAAAAGACTTACTTTATTTCTCTCCTTTCACTCTTTTTGAAATGCAGATGTCCTCTGTGAATCAGAGTTTTCATGTAACTCTAGATATATACAGTGTACCATTGTACCATGCATTCTCCTGCCCTTTTGAGGGACACTTCTCTCTAGCTAGTCACGTATATACATTCACACATAAATATTTCCCCTAGTCAGTTTAACATGCCTATAAATTTTTAGTGGTTGTGAGGGATCTGATTTCTTTTCTGCTTTATGGGTTATTGTTATGTAGCAGGCACAAAAACCAATTGAAGATATATTTTCTCAATGTCCTAATTTAAACTTTTATTTTATAGGAGCTGTAAAATATAATAAATAATTTACATGTATTAAGTTATTTTATGGTTTAAGACACATAAATTAGCTTAGGGTATGATTTTGCCATCCAGTGACAGTTTTTCTTTCTTCTATAAACTTCCTTCCCATATCTGATGAGAATCTCCCCTCTCTCCATTATACCGAAATGCAGTATATGATATTCAGGCCATGCTTCTGTAATTGGCAGTGAAATGGTTTTGAAAAGCATTTTAAAGAGATAAGACATATTTTTTTATTTGACTAAAAGGAAGTCCAATATTAGAATACTGTTAGAATGGTTTTATGCTTTTGTGGTCACCCTACAGAATTGGGGTGGGGTCCCTCCACATCAAACTTGCTTGGATGTTGAGGCTGGTGATGCCACCAATGCACTGAGAGAGTTCTATGAAGAGATTTACCACCCATATAATGAGACTTTCTGGGAAGACAAGGACAAGCTCCAATGCAAGTCAGAAAATGGCTTTAAAATGCCAGCCAAAGCGTATAATCCCAGCACTTTGGGAGGCTGAGGCGGGCAGATAACGAGGTCAGGAGATCAAGACCATCCTGGCTAACACGTCTCTACTAAAAATACAAAAAATTAGCTGGGCAAGGTGGTGGGCACCTGTAGTCCCAGCTACTTGGGAGGCTGAGTCAGTAGAATGGCGTGAACCCAGGAGGTGGAGCTTGCAGTGAGCCGAGATCGCGCCACTGCACTCCAGCCTGGGCGACAGAGCAAGACTCCGTCTCAATAAATAAATAAATAAATAAATAAATAAATAAATAAATAAATAAATAAAATAAACGCCAAAGAGGAGGAAGAGGAGATTGGCTTCAACTTCTATTCTGGATAGAAGGTGGTATTGGGGTGAGGGTTCCTGTATGTGGACCGGGGCTTGTGTAGTTTGAACTCTCCATTTGTGTCAAAGGAGGGAGCTCCTAGGCTTTTTTATTGGCTTTCCCAGGACTTGGGAGATGTAGGGATTGAAAGCCATTAACAGCCAAACATCAAAAAATGGAGTTATACTCTTTATTACATATGCCATCTTCTCAAGATACTAATCAACTATGTGATACCTGATTTCTAAACCCAGTGATTATCTGTATGACAACAAATGAAATATATTAACAGTTTAATTCAAATGGTAATTTGGGGTTATTCTGAAAACCCTGGTACATTAATGTCTATAAATATCTTATGTTTACCAGCCCTGGTTCCTAGGGTTAAGTATATGCTTCTAGAATTTAACAAGATAAAAATACTAATGTATAGACAATTTAAGAAGGTACTGGAAGGTGCTGTAAGTGTGACTTCAAAAAAAAATGCAACAACTCTGATATAATGATGTTTATTTAGCTCTATTACTACTTAGGTATAAATATCAGGAGGATGTAGTATAAACAATCCTGTGTTTGGAATTACAAGAACCAATTTTAAGGCCTTGTTCCATGCTTAACAGATAAGTTAAAAAAAAACAACTACCCCCTTATCCCTCTTCTTATGAAATAGGATACTGTCTTTGGCATGGTGGCGCATGCCTATAATCCCAGCACTTTGAGAGGCAGAGGTGGGAGGATCACTTGAGGCCAGAAGTACGAGACCAGCGTAGTCATATAGCAAGACCTCATTTCTACAAATAATTAAAAAGTTAGCCAAGCATAGGGTTTATTCCGGTAGTCCTAGATAATCCAGAGGCTGAGGTAGGAGTATCTCTTGAGCCAATGAATTTGAGGTTACAGTCAGCTATGAACATACCACTGAATTCCAGCCTGGATGACAGAGCAAGACCCTGTCTCTAAAACAAGAAAAAAAAAAAAAAGAAAGAAAGAAAAGAAATAGGATAGAGTCAGTTCTGTTATAGTAGGACATATGTGTTCCTAAAAATCACTGCATGATAAAAATTGACAAGTAAAAATCACAGGGTTTATGGGGAAAGTGGGGTTAGGGACACAACATTCAAAAATGTCACCAGTAAGAAAGAAAGAACAAACATAGACACATAAGATCATAAAAATTGAAGCACAATTTTATAGTTCAATAATTAAGAAATGCATATAAGCCATAACACATTTGGCACTTTACCTTGAAAAAGATTTAAGGTTTGCTCGTGGTTGTTGGAAGGGTTACAACTTTTCAGTTATTGTGAAGTGGTGGAGGAAGGAGGGTTATGTGAAATTGGACGGTATCTGATAGAAGTTCAAAGTACGTGAGTGTGTGCAATTTGTGTATGCCTACCTGGCTTGGTTCAGCTGGGCTCAGTGTTCTGTGCTCATCTACTGTTGTTCTGTCAAAATCACGTATCAACAAATAAAATTTTCAGTGTGCTCAAATTGTTGCCTAATCTATTGATTACACTGAAACAAATTCACATTTTCAAAACAAGCATTATAGTAAAACTGACCATAATACTACCTGACCTGTCTTTATTGTGGTAGATGAGAAAGCAGGTCTCACAGCCAGACCGACTAGATTCTGGCCCCTTTCTCCCCTCTTTTCTGTGTGATCTTGGGCATATTGTGTAGGATCTAAGTGTCAGGCTTCTCACCCGTAAAATGGAGCTGATAACTGTTCCCAGTCACAGGCTTTTTTTGTGTGGATTCAATGTTTAATGCATGGCGAGGATTTTGGACTGGCTAAGAATCCAAAAATATTATCTTTAACAAATGAGAAATTGCCTTGGAGAAAATATTTTTTAAGCTAGAAAGAAGTATATACTTGGCAGAATTTTTTGTATTAGGTTAAATTACACATATATATCAATTGCAGCTATTTGATAATTTTTCTTCACCGAACATAGAAATTTTATATGTTTCACTCTAAAATTTCTTGTGCTACTTTTTTCTAATACAATACTTATATATAAGTGGTAATGATTTTATAATTATATAATATTAGCATAAAATTAAAGAAGTGGAAAATGTATTTTAGTGTAAATAAATATATTTGATTCATGGTTCAGTAAACAAAATCTGAATTACATAAGCTACTTTCATAACTAACTTTCTGATCCTTAATTTATACTTTTTCCAGTCCAAAGGCATTGAGAATGTGGATTAACATGAAAATTTTCTTCATAAAGAAAACTTTAAAATGTTCTATTTTAAAATGCACAGAAAGGTAAATTAAAGATTAATGGTAATTTCTCCCTTTGGAGAAACTAAATTGGATTGTAGACAAAGACTCACTGAGGCCTTTGGCACAAGGTAGACTTGAAACTTTGAGAGACATAATGTTAGTTGAAACTTTTGAAGTTTGAATACAGATGTTTGTTTCATATTTTATTGTGTTTTTTCAACTTCTTCTGTTAATCAGCTTTTTAGCTTAGTCTTTTAAATTATTCAACATTTATGAGTTCAGGACCAATATATCTGGCTCCAATGATCTGAATTTGGTATAGTGTCATGGAAATATAAACATAGAAGCAGCATTTTTTACCCTCAACCAGTAGATTTTCAAGTAATATTAATTCTGAGTTTTGTACTTTGAGTAATAGCAGAGAACCTGTGTCAGGCTGTAAAGCTGTTTGCAGTCATTAACCTGCCTTCTTGTAATAAAATAACTGAGTGATACGGAAGAAAGGTTTAAATTTGCATACTTTTCCTTGCTGTTACAAAAAATCACCAAAATCCATAAACAAATTTCAGCACATTCACAACTCTTACAAAGCTACTTTCAAAAAAGAGAATATGAAAGTGATTATTTTATGAATAAGCCACAATCTACTATTCCACTGTTATCTTTTAAATGACAGTATTATTTGTGAATCAGATATTTGATCATTATGCTATTTTAGTATATATTTACTTAAAGAAAAAGTATACTTATAAAGATTACAAAGCTGATAAAATACATTAATATTAAAATACATTAATACAATTTTGATATTAATTTTAACAGTCATACACAGTTATATTTCTATGGCTGGCAAAAGTATTTCATAAAATACCCTCATTTTATGAAATACCTAAATCAATTTGAAATGGTAACAATGGAAAAATCATTGTAAAACTAATATGTACAGAATGATTTGTTGAACTACACTCCATAGATTGATATGCTGCATTCATTTTCAATTATTTAAAAATGTTCCTTGGTTTTTTGACAAGGTTTATTATAAGCCAGTTTGTTCTGCATAAAAATTAATCAAAATTAGATCTATTACTTAACTGATGTATTTTAACTCCATGTGAGATTATATTCTTTACATCCATTAATTCCCTGGAACAAAAATTCATCCTCAACAATGCACTAATCCAAACCAAATTTAGATACTTTATTTTACAGGCATAAAACCCCAAAACAAAACATAAAAGAAACAATATAAAACAAATACATAACAAGTCTTAATGCTTAGATTTTTGAAAAAAAAGTATCATAATCTATATTTTATTTTAAGTTATAAATTGCCATCAGTTTTTTCTTTTAATAAAATTATAGTTGAAATCCTAAGCTTCTACTCAACTTTTCTGATTAGATTAGAGGAGAACCAGAACTCCCCTAAGCTGTTTATAATGAGTGGGAAATGGTCTGTGTGATGACTGACATAGAAGAAGACCAATTATCACACCTCCTATCTCCTAGAAATGGAGAAATTGAACTATTTCGCTGCCATTTCTCACAGGTTATCCGAGGAAAACTTTCAGGCTTACTGGCATATTTTCAGCTGCAGAGAGTTTCCCAAAAGGACACCCTGCATTACCTTCCACTGTGTCAAACAAGATTCAAGACCCGTAGAGTGCCGTTCGAGATGAGAAACGGTTCCCTGGCATTGTGACATAGATAGTATAAGAGGAAGTTAAGACAAGGATCTATTTCTATGTTCACTTGGAGACATCATATTATTCTGTGAACGGTGGGAAATTATACTTCTAAATGTCTAGCATTTATTGAGTTTGCAGAGAAACTGAGATTAAACACTTGTGAATCTAATTTTATTATTTATTTATTTAAGCATTCAGCAGAAGGAGAAAGCAACAAGAAGGAAATGTATACTAAGTATATAATATATAATATTTAAATTATATTCACATTAGTAATTTGTGACTTTCTTAAAGATGGAAAGCAGATGATTCTCATCTTGTTGAGCACACATTTAAATAAATCGATTAGATTTACTTTTATGTTAGTAAAAAAAAGTAAAAAAGCATTCTCATTTAAAATTTGTGAGGGATAAATTTTATCATTTCCATTATGCAGATGAGAAAACTGAAGCTCTGTTTTGTTCTGTTATTTATTTTATTTTATTCTTTTTTTGAGACAGAGTCTCGCTCTGTCGCTCAGGCTAGAGTGCAGTGGCGCGATCTCGGCTCACTGCAAGCTCCGCCTCCTGGGTTCACGCCATTCTCCTGCCTCAGCCTCCGAGTAGCTGGGACTACAGTCACCCATCACCACTTCCGGCTAATTTTTTTTGTATTTTTAGTAGAGACAGGTTTTCACCGTGTTAGCCAGGATGGTCTCGATCTCCTGACCTCGTGATCTGCCTGTCTGGGCCTCCCAAAGTGCTGGGATTACAGGCGTGAGCCACCGTGCCTGGCCTGTTCTGTTTTTATTTTCTCAGCAATGTTCCTCAAGCTAAGTAATTTGTTCGTGCAAGTAAATATCCTCTTAGAGGATTATGATATAAATGTATCTTCGCAAACTCAGTATTTTGCTCCATTTGTCAACTTGAAGTAACTAGTTGTGTTAGTTCGCTTTCACACTCCTATAAAGAAATACCTTAGACTGGGTGATTTATAAAGGAAAAATGTTTGATTGACTCACGGTTCTACATGACTGGGGAGGACTCAGGAAACTTCCAATCGTGGCGGAAGCAGAAGCAGGCAAATCTTAAATGGCAGCAGGCAAGACAGAGTGAAGATGGAATAGCCCCTTATAAAACCATCAGATCTCATGAGAACTCACTCACTCTCATGAGAACAGCATGGGAGAAACTTCCCCTATGATCAGTCCCCACCCACCAGGTTCCTCCCTCAACACCGAGGGATTACAATTCGAGATGAGATTTGGGTGGGGACACAAAGCCAAACCATATCACTAGTAAATATTTCAAACCCCAGATCGTAAAAAATTGAAGGTAAAAACAATATGCTAAGAGTGTATTTACTTGATAGCTTCTTGTTTCCCATTAATTTTAATTTTTATTATTGCTCTAACACCCTACTTCTTGCTGGAACAAACAAAAAAAGCAAAGCCTTTAAAAATGTAGTGTTTACAGGATAAATAACTTTGTGCTTTTGGAAACATATGGATGATGCTTCATATCAAGTAATAATTTTGTGCAGCATCTTATGAAGATCAACATGTATAGAAACTAAACACTAAAATGGACACAATTCTAGAGAGCAGATGATATTTAATTTTTTAAGAGCAGAAAACCGTTATTTAGTCTTTGCCTGCTAGTGACTCGGTTATATCAACTATTCCAATTAACATAAAAGTAAATCTAATTAATTTATTTAAATGTGTGCTCAAAAAGATGAGAATCATCTGCTTCCCATCTTTAAGGAAGTCACAAATTACTAATGTGAATTTAATTTATATTCTATCCTGAAAATATACTTACTAATATGGAAGTAGTTTATGCATATTCTGAAAGGAGAAACGCTTCAAGGAAAGCCAGAACAGTTTCTTTGTAAGATCTGTTTGATTAATTATTCACTAGAGTAATATCAATAGAAGCCCAAGAGAGGATCACAGAGTTCATGTCCAACATCTGGATGTAAAATTACATATAATTTGCAAACATGAAGCAAACCGTGTCAAACACTGGGCCAAATGAAACAAAGTTAGGGAAGAAAGAGAAAAAAGAGAAAGGGTATAGATTTAATAGTTGTTGAGAATGCATAAATTGACCAGCCTGAATTATAAGAATAGTAAAAAGTTCTCATGCACTGTTGAGTATCTTCATTATCACCAAATAATCTCCTTATTTAAAAAAATAGACTGTAGTTTGGTGTGATAAAATCATGGCTTAGGCAAACATTTTTCTCCTTCTAAGGCTCACTGCAAATATGTTGATCCTAGTGTTCTATTGTGGGCACCTGGATGACCTTATACAAGAACATGGCAGTGACCTCTGCTCCCTGCACATGCCTGTTTTCTCCTCCAACAAATGCCTGAGTAGAGAATGGTAGTAGCTGAATAGCAAACTTCACTATGTTCCCTAGAGAACTGTAAAGCTGATGTAATGGTCCTAAGCATACACACCTTTGACCTTTTTCAATAATGTATGAAGATATGAAAGTCAGAGGAATCAAAACTCCTCTACTCTACAAATCAATAATCCTTCATGTTCAGCTCTTAAACCTAATTATCCACCAGGCATAAGACTGACTTTAGCTGTAAAATTTGGTGTCATTCCCTTTTGGATTCTTGCCTCATTCTTTATCCCACCTCACCTATATATCTCTATATACAAGTCTAAGATGTGCAGAATCCTAAATTCTTTCTATGCCAACTAAAAAAAAAAATTAACTGAATTATCCACTCAACTAAAAAAAATACTCAAACAATTCACTCATATAATTTGAAATCTCCTATTTTCTTTCATTTTTTTCTTTTGTTTTTTGTTTTTCCTTTTTCATTTACCTTCGGATCATCTGATTTAAACTTTTTTTTTTTTTTAAATAAAAGATAGCCTAAATTTCAAACATCTCCAGTTAGGTAAGGCAAAAAAAAAATAACTATTTAAAATTTATTTAGTTCTATACCCCTTCAATCCAGTTTCTAAATTCCTTATTATGGCACTAGTAAAGTTTGTGAGTGCATGTGAGAGAATAGGTATGAACTGAACCCAAGCAAAATTCTGTTTCATTTTGCTGTTCAACCAGCCTTCCTTGAATTCCTAGCCTATGCAAGCACAGTGACATACTCTAAGGATGATTTGCCTCTGAGGATTTCAGAAGCTAATGTGAAAGTGACATGTCAAACATACACAAAATCAGAAACAAAATGCAAAATAAAAATGAATGCTACAGACTTTCATTAAAATATACACAATATTGCTGTGGATTCCCACAGTAAGAGGTCTCAGACTGTGTGGCTTTTCTTTTTTGAGTAGTATGTTATAGAAACCAGAGGACTTATATTTGCCCATATACAGCTATGCATTCTTAATTCTTTGAGAAATTTTAAAAGTTTGAAAATGTCGTTTGGTACCAAATGGCAATAAAACTGCTTCAAATAAAACTTTAAGACTAAATACAGTTGTGATGAATTAAAGTTGGTACTTTTTCTCTCACTACTCCCCTTGACAAGTCTTTAAAAAAATTAGTTGGTACATTTTCTGTACTTTAAACTGAATCACTGATCAGGACCTTTTTTTATTCTTCTCATGAAGAAGCTACATTATATATTCATTAAGCAAGGAAACAGAGTGGCTTCATAAGCAGGTGTGATTTATTTATTTGTTTGCTTGTTTTTATATTATTCTAGATGCCTACCCAATAAGATCCACTCTAACTACATCAACTTCTTTCATGAATTTCATTGTACAAGTATTGACAATGAAGGTAGAGATGGGCTACTTCCCTAATCATGGGCTAGCAATTATGTCAATTCATATGGGTGGCTATTCAGGCTATCATGATGTTTTAGGGCACCTAAAATATACCTTTGGCTTTCCTTTTTTCCCCAGTAGGGGACATAGGTTCAAGCAGAAAACATTGTTGAAATAAATTAAAATTTATTAAAATATTATATTTGTGTTCTTCAGAGGAACAGAGCCAGAAGGATGGATGGATGGATGGATGGATGGATGGATGGATGGATGGGTGGATGGCTGGTTATAGATAGATAGATAGATAGATAGATAGATAGATAGATAGATAGATAGATAGACAGATAGATAGATTAGACAGATAGATATAAACAAATCTATTTTTATGAAAGATTGGCTCATGCAATTATGGAGGCTGAGAACTACCACAACCTACAGCCTGCAAGCTGAATATTCAGGAAATCTGTGGTTTAAATCAACCTGAGTCCCAAAGCCAAAGAATCAGGGGAGCTTATGGTGCAAATCCCAGCCTGAAGTGTGGAGAAGATGAGATGAGATGTTCCAGCTCAAGCAAGCAGACAGGAAGCAAAAGGAGTGAATTCAGCCTTCTTCTGCCTTTTTGTTCTATATAGGCTCTCAAAGAATTGGCTGGTCCCACCTACACATGGGGGAGGCCAATCTACTTTACCGATTTTTACCAATTCAAATGCCAACCCTATTTGGAAAAATTTCCACAGATATACCCAGAAATAACGTTTAATCTGGACACCTTATGGCTAATCAAGTTGACACATAAAATTAACTATCATAAATATTATGAAAAATACAATGAAAATGTGTGTATGTATTTTACTGGGAACTTTTTAGTATCTAACGTCATGATTTTACGTTAGATAATTCTATAATTATTATGTAAAATAATTCCATAATCAAATGCTTGACAGTGTTAGTTCTATGCGATGCTAAACAAACATCTAATGTTTCCTTTCTTTCTGGTGTTCTCAACTTTATGATTAAAAAATATGGAATTAGAAATCTGACATTAAGGTCCTATGTAAAATGAAGTAAAATAAAATAATGATATGTTAGCATTTAGAGAATAACATTGCCATTCTAGCTTTTGTTCAGTTATACAGATATAAATGTGTTGCCTTCTTCATGTTGATATTTGACCACAATGGCTACATAACAATATTTAAAAGTTACTTTTTATATTAAAGGATTTTAATTGATTTTTAAACCAAAATATTCTTTATGTGTCAGAGGAGCTACAGTATATTAATTGCTCCTTGGAAATAAGCAGCAGGAAGAAAATGACAATTGTTTACTGCATATGATAGTTGTGCTTCACTGAACATGAACACACATTAATTAGAATAAGAGAAAACTAAATAAAATTGATATGGGTTTCAGAAAGAAAATATCAAAAAAAGTTTGGAAAGAAACTACCATAATTGTCAATATGGTCAGGAGAGAATGTGATTCTTCTCAGAAGAAAAACAACTAAATCCCTCAGAGAAAAAAACAAACTCAAAACAGATTTTTTTTTTTTTTTGGTCAATTTTCAAGGACCCATGAATGAGAAAAGTAAGTCAAGAAGGAATGAAAGAAAGAAGTTGGGGTAGTTAGTTAATATAAAATGTAAGGTAACATGGGAACAGAAAATAATACTCAAATTTATGCCTTCAAATGAAAGAATTAAAAATACTAATTAAGACCTCACTGGGCTGTAGGCCCTATTTCTTCTCTTACTTGCCTTCATTTTTTTAAATCTCCTGAACTTCCTCACCAACATTGTTTGGATCCACTCCAAGTGCTTTTCTGTTCTCATTGGTCCAATGACACCTGTGATATGTTCTTCTTGAAGTGGATCTTGGCAGCATATGAGAGGAATCCTACTCACGCAAGCTACGTTTGAAGCCTCTATGAATTATGTCTTGTCACACTCCACGGCCTCAACAAGCCCAGAGTCACTGGATCAGGGAAGCGTATTTCACTGCTAGGCAGAGAAGGAAAGGGTAATTCAATGTAGGATTTATCACATTAAGAATTATTATTTCACTTTCACAGATAATCTACACCAAAATTAGGAGAGAATAAGTAGCTTGCTTAATGTTTCACAATTAACAAATAACAGAGATAGGATTCAAACACACTGTTGTCTGATTCCAGTCCATACAGTCTTAATTATTGTGTCATTTTGCTCTTTTGATTATGTGGGTATCACAGCACAATAAGCACACACATACACAGAATTATACACACACACACACATATACATCCCACACATGTACACTCATATTCTTTAGATTTTTATTAAATGGTAAGTTTTCATTGCTCTTTCCAGAGTCAATAACATGCTAAGTTCCTTGTATGGTCTCTGAACCACTACTTATGCTATAATTTAAATTATAACCAATACAGATTTATTATTATGTGTTATTACTATTTTTGAATTCCCTGCAAAAAAATATTGTCCTAAATGTTGTGAGCCTGAAATTACAGTAAGGTCTTTGATACCCACATTTTTAAAGAAAACTATTCTTTTGGACCTTGTATCCTAAGACCACATATAGACGAAATTTAACTATTTACTGCAAGGAGTTAACATGAGGATGATAAATATTGGGAAAACAAATGAAAACAAAAACAATAAATGCATTAACTATATAAAAATAGGAATCAAATTATGGGATATAGTGATATAATTTAATGTAAAAACATACAAACAACAGATTTTAGCTATAGATATGAACTAACATATCTCATGTTGTTTTCAATAGTATAGGGAGAGTTCAATAGTTTCACTGAAACAGCACTGAACAAGGTATCAAGGATTTAGTCCCTAATCTGTTATTAACAACAAGTGAGGAAAATTATTAAAATAACAGTACGGACTAGAATTCAGTGATATGCATATGCACAAAGCAGGCCGACATGCATATTTATGACAAGTACTAGAGTTGAGTGAAACGTGTGTATGTCACATGATCCTTAGGGTGTCGCTTTTCCAGCCTAAAACCTCTGAGGCCGTTGGCACCTTTGCCAGAGTTTTGCTCAGGCCCCCTGGGCTTGTTTCGCCCACTTGACTCGGCAGGCTGCACTCAGCTCACGCTACTGGCCCGGATCCCACACTTGCCAAGGGTGAGCCAAGCGCCGAGCGGTGAGGGGTGTGTGGGTGAGCAAGCGTGGGGTCTGGTCACTGCGCACAGCCAGGCACATCTGCTGCTGCGGCAAGGCGGGCAGCTTCAGGCGCCGGCACAGGTGCTGGCTCTGTGTGAGGCTACAGCTGGATCAGATGTACCACATGTGGCTTCTGCAGCAGGCACCCGTTTCTGGATGAGAGGAATGCAGTGGCTCCCGGAAGTTTGGAGAAACCAGGAACCATAAACCCCAAAGAGGGCACCACGGCCCTGGCTCCGGAAGTTCCTAGGTCTGGGCTCCCCAAAGGGCTACAGCTCTTCTCTCCTCATTGCCCATAAGGTAGTGAGTGGGGGGCATGTTTCAACCCTGTTTGTGCTACAGCTCTTTCAGTCCTGCCATTTGGCAGGTCCTGAGTTCTTGTCCCACGTCCAGGAAGACTGAAGTACACAGGCAACTGGAGGGTGAGCAAGGCAGAGAGGAGCTTCATTGAGCAACAGAACAGCCCTCAGGGAGACCCAAAGTGGGTGACTCAGTGGGTGCTGATTGGGCCATGGGTGGCCATGGGTGGGCCCACAAAAAGCACCATAAGTTCTCATTCTGGGCTGCAGACTCCACCCAAAAGTGGCAGCCCGCCATCAGGCTTCAGACTGTCCCTGGCTTAAAGGTGGAGTTTTACTAGGCACCCATCCATTTCCACTCAGGAATTTGTCTGCCTCCCCTGCTGTCCATGGCACACAAGCTGTTCATGCCAAAGGGCACCTGCAGGCGCAAGCCAGGCCACACTTAGCACCATCCCCCGGCCTCCCTCCTGTGCTTTTCAGTGCCCAAAGTATTGGGGTGGGCCGAGGCAGCAGCAGTGGTGGGCTGGCATGTCTATACTGCTCTGAGCACGTGCACACCCAACTGGGTTATGACAGTGGCTGGGTGCAGCCACAACTTTGCTATGCCCAGCAGCTGGCTGGCGCTGGGAGCAGGGAGAGGCAAGGGAGCAGAGCAGGCATTTCCTAGCCTGCAGCGGCAGGGGAGCTTCCCGGGCCCCAGAGAACACAGGGATGCCTGGGTCCGGAGCCTGGGCTGGATGGCTGCAGCTGCCCCCAGGAACCTGGGACTCCCATCCCATTAATTCAGTAGTGGTCGGGACTCCCGCCTGTTCCCAGCTCTTATCAGCTCAGTGGAGCATGCAGCACCAGCTACACCTCCTCCGCTGCAGCTGATGTCCCCAGAACAACTGCTCCAAATGGGCCCCATTGCCATCATGTATACATACCAACGTGAATAAGAAGGGGAAGTACAAAGTAGCATCATGATTGATATCTCTTGGGAGGGCTATCAGATTTCATAATCTCTTCAGGGATGTGAAAGAATTCTAAATATATATAGTAAGAGAGAAAGAAAAGAATCAAAAATGGATCAAGATTTGAAGTAGATCAAGTAGATAAGAGGCGAATTAAATTATTTGCAAATAATGCTACCTTTTTTAAATAATTTCAAAGTCATTTTAGAGCTTTATTTATGACTCTGCTTTTATGACTCTTCTTTTTAAATAAAGTCTCTTTTAGGCATAAGTATTTCTTGAATCTCAAATGAAACCTTGACCCATATAAAGAAATTTAAATTTTTTATTGATTGGGTATACTTTGTTCTGTTTGACCACTTAATGTAGAACAACAAATGTAATTTTCTTTAGTATTCAAATACTCATGTTAATATGGAAGGAAGGAATAGTGATAAAAAGTGATGCTGAAGATGTTGAAATAAACTATGATTTAGATTTTAATGAACTTCATTTTTGTTAGATTAAAAAAAAATACCACTTTGGGAAAATGTAATGTAACCTAAACTTTTATTTTTAATTTTTTATTTTTATTTTTTTTATTTTTGAGACGGAGTCTCGCTCTGTCGCCCAAGCTGGAGCACAGTGGCGCAATCTCTGCTCACTGCAAGCTCCGCCTCCCAGGTTCATGCCATTCTCCTGCGTCAACCTCCCAAGTAGCTGGGACTACAGGCGCCTGACACCATGCCTGGCTATTTTTTTTTTTTTTTTTTTTTTTTGTATTTTTGGTAGAGACAGGATTTTACCGTGTTAGCCAGGATGATCTCGATCTCCTGACCTCGTGATCTGCCCACCTCAGTCTCCCAAAGTGCTGGGATTACAGGCGTAAGCCACCTCGCCTGGCAATGTAACCTAAACTTTTAACCCTAGCTTCTGAATCAGCTTCCTTTTTTACATACATATATCACACACACACACACATAAAATCACACCTCACTTTGTCTATAAGACCTCTCATTTTCCCAGTTACAACTGAGAAAACTCCTTTTATTTACACTACATTTTGGGGGCAATTTAATACAGTTGGGGAACTTAAGTATTAAACTGAACAGTACTGCTTGCATAAGCAGTTTATCTTCAATGGAGATGACCTAATGTTAAAGGCTACTCCTTCTCTGTTTACATTTATTCATCAGAAGCCAGCAGCCTAAATAGGAACCCTCCTAAACCCATAAGCAAGTACACTACTGCCTTATATGTATATGTCTTCTCTGTTACTGCTTTAGTCAGAAACAATTTATCATTTGAATTTTTAAAATCTCCTCATTGAAGGCATATCTATCTATACCCCATCCTCAAATGCACATTTCTACCCCTTCCCACATGCATAACTTTTAACCCAAGTTCAGTTGTCAATGCTTGTTGATCAATATTATAAAAGATTTATTTGAAGGTGAACAGTTCTAACAGTCTGATTTGCTATTATCTCCTACCATACATTGTTCTAAGTAAGAGAAACTTTCATAGGTCCTAGAGAGTATCACCCCATTTTGCTAGATGACATCCAATGATAATGGCCTTAACATGATGGAAAATTAATTGAGAAAGCATTTCTACCCTGCTATACTTTTATCATCCATTCTATTGCTGCTATTAGCAGGAATCCATAACCCCATGGGTGTTTCAAGTGAATCTCTTTTAGCAGAGCTAACAGTCTGGAGGTCATACAGCTAGCTACTCCCATCAGCTGGGTGTCAAATCATTGTCGAAAAGAAATTACTGCTGTATTCATTTTTTTAGCTTCTAGCCTTGTGCTGTGGTATATGAGATGATTTGTAGAGAATCACTGGGGAAACAAGAGCACTGGTGGTCATTGAAGTCTTCTTTCATGTCAGCACTTAGTAGAATCATTACAAATTAACTTGGATATGTGGGCTACTGCCTGAAATTGAACACACTCTTAAGGCAGGATTAGAAGATTCTGAATTCAAATTCTTGTTGGACATGATTTTTTTTCTTGAATGACAATACATGCAGAACAAGTGCCACTGGTGGTATTAAAATAACATAATAATCTGTAGCAGGTCCCCCCATTATATCAAACATACAATTGCATCGTTACACAAACAATAATGAACTTTTTATATTAATGGCTGATGTTCCCTGTTTTCATTTGCCTCTACACATAATAAAATGATTTTCATGTATATATTTTAGATATCCTATATGTATTGATATGTAACACACAAACACACAAATACACACACACACTAAAGAAGGCATGAATCAAATTTAAAGTTGAAAGAGCTCATTCTTCTCAGTTATATGAGATCAATTTTTTCCATTCTGTTCTTTTAAAATTTTTCCTCTGATATGAAACAAGCAAGCCATTAATCTGTAACATCTTTTTATACCTGTTTTCACAACAAAGCACTGAAGACTACAGTGGTTTTTCCATATATTTGTATAAAATATAATTTAGTTAAATGTTTCCATGCTTAGAGTATAAATTGCCTTCAGGTTATGGTTGGTGTTTTCCTAATGTTTGGTCAAAGAGACAGTATAGGAAAGGCAATGTCTATCTTGTCTCCTGTGATATTTAAATGAAAGGAAAAAATTACTGAAATATGACATAATGGTATATAATTTTATGTACATCCTAAATCAATAATATTTAGAAAAATTAAGTACCACTCTGACATGAGCAGGCATACGGGTGTATGGTTGTGCTTTCTAAAATCTTCCATATAACTTAATGGCTTTAACAAATGTATTACAAAATGGCTATGCCAAGACTGGAGTGGAATTCCTGAATCAAAATAGGAGTGCTGAACTCTTCAAATATGACATATAGGTTAACATATTTTTTATAAACAGGAACAGGAATTTAAAATGACAAGCAGTTATTTTATATAGAATAAAATTCTGTGTTTATATAGAACAAAAATAACAATAGTACTCATATTACTATAAGAAGGAATATATGGTAATAATATGAGTACTATTTGTTCCAACTAGCGACCAAAGGCATGAATACTCATAATTGAGAAAATATTCTCTGGCATTTACAAATAAATATAAATAACTACATTCATACACAGTGAAAAATCTTGTTTAGAAGAGGGTCATTGCTTTCTAAAACATACATAGTTGTCTCTCAATAACTCAGTATTCATCTGTCATTCATGAATTGTCAGAAACCTTTTGAACATACTAATATTTCAATCAGCATGTCCTTCATGTCTACTGATATCCATGTCTTCTGTCAAATATAGACAGTGTATGATTACAAAAGATAACTAAAAAACAAAGATCATTTACAGATAAATACTCAAAATGTGTTGCATATTGGACATAAAAACAAAGTTAAATGTTACTTCTAGGTTTTTTGAAAGTAAACTATATGTTCTAATTTTCAAATATACTTCATTTCCTATGAAATAGAATGGTTACTGGTTTAAAGACACCAGCTTATTATAAAAAGTTCATTACAACCAAGGACAAATGAAAGGCAAATCTCAAAGAAAAAAAAATACCTCTTTAAAAAATGTTTTAAGTGACTAAAACGTATACTTAATCACATTGTGATCTATTTATTTTTGAACTTCCTAACAAGTATGGTAGTGTCTAAATTGTAAAATATTTATGATTATTAGTAAGAAGAAAAATTTGCTCTGCATTTTAATCACAATGTTTCTAGAATGCAGTGTTTAAAAATAAAAAAATAAAATGTTCAGGAAGCAATACATGAGGAAAATTGTATTAAGCAGTGAAGCACCAGGCTATTGTATAACTGGACAATTACATTAAGCTTAAATATAGAAATATGCATAATTCCAGAGACATTATTCTACATAGTTTATTAAAAAATGTTCCAAGTTATAAAAATAGGAAATGTGTTTGAGTTGAAGCTCTGTATTCATTTTTATTTTAAACTTAGAAATCTAGAAAATACTGAATTTAGGTTAAATAAACACCTAAATTAATTTTTGATGATTTCAAGTGCTTAAGTTTGGCAAACATCATCATGAAAATTTGTATTTAGGAAACAAATTCTTACTCATTTATTAATTCTAACTGGAAAGACATGATTTGGTCTCATCTACATTTTTATTATAATTATGCTGTGAAACCCTGACCTTTATGCATTACCCAAAAGCCCTGGAAAATATATACCCTAAAATTTCATGAATACAATATTTTTTCGTGTTTGTAACCTAACACGTCAAATTTTTCCCTACCTATAAGCAATACCATTTTTTTGTGAGTTATCTCTAAAAGGAGTATGAGCTCTTACTTTTAAATTAAGAATTTACTTGTAACTTTGATATTTCATGGAAGCTAAATACTATTTTTTAAACAAATATCTTTTAATTTTCTTTGAGATCAATGAATAGTATTTCTTGAACTCGAATAGAATTAAATGTATGATTATGGATAAAAAATTATTTCAGTATTATGTATTTTAATATACACATTATTCTAGCTAACAGTGTAATATCCAACTAAATATATTGCAGTTTTAAAAAAACTATGCAAAAAGTCAAGAAATAGGAAAAATAAAACTTCGACTCAAGGTAAGAGAACTCTTACCTCTTATGAGGATTAGTGCTTACATCATGTTTCCCTCAATGATTTCTTTACACAAAAGCTGAATTATAAAATACCCTGTTTAAAAATTTTGCATGTTTTTTTTGAGACAGAGTCTGTCTCTGTCGCCCAGGCTGGAGTGCAGTGGCTTGATCTCGGCTCACTACAAACTCCGCCTCCCGGGTTCACGCCAGTCTCCTGCCTGAGTCTCCGGAGTAGCGGGGACTACATGCGCTCGCCACCACGCCCGGCTAATTTTTTGTATTTTTAGTAGAGACGGGGATTTCACCGTGTTAGCCAGGATGGGCTTAATCTCCTGGGCTCGTGATCCGCCCGCCTCGGCCTCCCAAAGCGCTGGGATTACAGGCGTGAGCCACCGCGCCCGGCCGCATCATCTTCATTAAATTTTTTATTTGTTCCTTTCTAACAGCGTTTTGCCCTGTCAACTGTTTGTTAGAAGATTTCCCTTAAGAGAAAGTTGAGTTTCATATCCATGCTCATAGATCACAGTCTGAATACAACTTGCCTCACTCCACTTGGCAGGTAGGAATATCCGTGAATAACACTGAAATATAATTGGCTTCAGCTCCCAGTATTGTCCCCTGAAATTGCTTCATTCCTATATCGCCTAATCTAAGCAGCAAAGACATATTTTAAATTCAGACTGCCTTAAATTGCTGCATTACAGCTTTAAAAAAACAGACCTCAAGTGTTAGTGAGGTGACAAAAACTGCTTGTTTTACAAAATATTCTATGTTTTGGTGAGACATACATGTGAAGGTAGTTACTTGAATTACAAAACACTGACAGTACTAAGTACATTTAGCTTATGAATAGTGTTCACTGGGTTTTGTGCCTGTTTATATTCAAATTTCATAATAGGACTGCATTCATTATTAAAAGACAAACTGTTCTTTCTTTATTAGTTGAAGCATTACTTATTGCTTATATTGTTAATATACTAAACATGTGTTTGAATATGCTCCTTGGCCAAATTTCATAGCCAGTGGTTTAAGAACTCAGAAGACTCTCTCCCAACTTGATGAGCTGGTTCCCCATGATAGTGGAGGAGGGGCGGATGGAAGTAGGAGCGGTAATTTCTTAGCTCATTAGTTGCATATTCATCTTAATGGGGCATCAAAGCTTAAAACTATAATGCATTCCCCTCATTCAAGCCACCAGAGAATATGCGTAATAACCACATGAAAGCAGAAAGGATTTCAACACTTTGAAGCTGCCCAAGCAGGTGTCATCTTTCCCTTAAGGCAGAATGGAGCGGGAACTTGATTAATCTAATTCTGCCTCAGTAACCCCCTTTGAGGCTCTCTCACCACCCGGAGTGGATGTATAGCAGTGCATCACCTCAGATAAAACACAAATTGAATTGCCTTTGGCCACATTTCAGAGAGTGGGATAGGAGGAAAAGAAACATGACCTAAGTCATATTCTCTCCAATAAAACTATTTTTATTCATTTTCTCCACACACATTTATTAGCACCCCTTTTTAAACATAAAATATGTTTGCAGAATGCTGCAGAATAAAGAGCATAAAATTCATAAAAGCATTACAAGAGAACATAATTATGCTTCTGCCTTCTATTTAAACATAGTTTAAAAACTGTTAAACAAATATTAGATTTTTCAACTTGTTCTTCGCAATCAAACTTTAGACAAATGGTATATATTTGTCACAAACATTATCTCTTGCATAATTTTTATGCTCAGATAAAAATAATCTTTTGTATTAATTTTTATAGAAGGTACAGTGCTTATTATTCTTACTCTTCAAATAAATATACAACCATCAATTTGCAATTCATTTATGACTCAAATAAGTGGTTGGAGTTTTTTTCATCTTAGTTCCAGGTAACAGGAGAATATCTCACTTTATTTTGGGAAAATAAAAAAAAATGAAGGTAAGGAGGGTAATACAATTTGGTGTATAATATTTACTCTGCAAAATTTTTAACATTTCTCCCACTTCATCTCATGTAGTTATTTATTTGAAACTAATCAAAATCAGAAATAGAACAATGCAATGATGTAAAAGTACTTACATGGTTTACATGAAGTATATCTTTGCAATAATAATAAATTATTTGCATTTATGCTATTTAGAGAAAACACTATTTTAGGAAAATCAATAAAAGTAGAAGGTACATACGTTTTTAGATGAAGCTGAAATTTTATAATTGGGAATTTTCCCTGAGGGTTTGAAAAGCCAGGACTATTTTGTAATAACTTCAAAATTCAGAGGCACATGATAAGGTAAAAGTTTATTAATAAGAAATGCCCACATTTATTTTTAAAATTGGAAGTAGAATGTTTTATTTCAATGTCATCTGTGTTTGTTACTGGAATATCAGTGAATGCCTTGTGGGTGATGTCAGTGCTGTGTGCCAGGTGTATGATTTTATCCTGATTTCTGGCACATTGCCTAGCACATAGTAGGTGCCAGTCAATAAGTATTTTTAAAAACCTGGGAAAAGTTCATATGAAATAAATACTTTCCTAAATTTTTGCATGCCTATAATTTTACATTAAATATTGTTTGAGGATGTTAATTTGTCAATTTTTAAAGATAAGCTTGCAATGGTTTAAATATTTTAGATGGTTAAATTTAAGGTCAATAGCTGTACATTTTCCTGATGACTTGAAGCTAAGAAGATATAGTCTGAAGAGGACATCTCGAAACCACTTTGTCTAGATGGAACTTTAGTTTTAAGATCATATATTCCTTATAGGTTATACACACATTTTAATGTGTAGTATATATACTTCATTTGATAAAGCTCACTATTTTGCATTATTTGTATATATCCAAATAAGAAAAGTAGGTCCTAAAACGAAAATGGTAGTTGTGGTATGGCAAGAATAAATTATTGTTCCACAACAGCATAAAATTTAATCCCTTATTCTTTATGTTTTTCTTTCTTTCCTTTATCTGCACACTCAAGCAAAGCCTCCAGTTACATTTGATGGTCTGATTAAATCAGTCAAAACTCATATTTGAATTAATGATAGACTGATAACTTAAGTAATTATCCCAGATGAAGACCATAAAAGATCTCCAGTTGATAGAGTCTGAAATGATGCTTTTGCCTGGCATAAGTCTAGGCATTTTACTTAATCCATAAGGCTGCAGGCACTTCTCCTTTCTACCATTTATCAAGTAAACCTGGGAATACAATACACAGAAGAAGCATAATTTATCATGCAAGTAAACTCTTCCCCACTTTTTCAGGTGATTATGTATCTTAGGGAACTTTGTTAAAATAGATTGATCTTTGAAGAAAGAAGAATCATTTGCAGAGTGATTCTTTAACTACTAAATAATGGAAAGAAGAATAAGGGCTGTTTTATCAGAATCATGATGTGGTCATATCATAATATTTAGTATTTCTACCAAGTTAGATAGAAAAAAATAGAATAATAGTGAGATAGACTGGCAAAAGTTAATCAAACAATAACCTCATTTCTATTTGAAACACACTTTTTTACAAACACCATAGTAAGAACAAACTTACTGCCAAATTCTGTTTTTTGTTGTTGTTATTTTATTTGTACCCTTTATATTTCTTTTGGAAATTAAAGACATATTGATTCAGTAACATTTAAATTCATGCTAAAAATAGTCTTGAAAAGATATTTTTCAAATTTATGTGATATAATTAGGTTACCACTTCTATGACTCACTTCTGCAACCATTCATGCACCTAAGCTCTGATCCTAGATATTCAGGAGCCTCATCATCATCTCAAACCCCACATATTAAAAATCTTTACTTTATTTTCTTTTTTTTTTTTTTTTTTTTTTTTTTTTTGGAGACGGAGTCCCATTCTTTAGCCCAGGCCGGATTGCAGTGGCACAATCTCGGCTCACTGCAAGCTCCGCCTCCCAGGTTCACGCCATTCTCCTGCCTCAGCCTCCCGAGTAGCTGGGACTACAGGCACCCGCCACCGCGCCCAGCTAATTTTTTGTATTTTTAGTAGAGACGGGGTCTCACCGTGTTAGCCAAGATGGTCTCGATCTCCTGACCTTGTGATCCGCCCACCTTGGCCTCCCAAAGTGCTGGGATTACAGGCGTGAGCCACCGCGCCCAGCCACTTTATTTTCTTAAGGCCAGTTTCTTTCCCCCAAATGCTCCATACTTGCAATTTATCTACATGAATTTTAATCCTAGCTCTGCCATTCACTAGCTATGTGGCCTTGGACAAGTCAGTCTGTTTTCTCATCTGTAAAAAGAAGGTAATAATTATCACATGAGACCATCGGATAATTAAATTAGTCAATATATCTATAGACCTTGAACAATGATAAGCACATAGAAAAGCTCTGTATTAACGCTGTTTCTTATTCTTACTATTATACAACCAAGGGAACTCTTACTCCTGTTCGTCATTTCCTTCTTCTTTATCCCAAGAATCTAACCAATCCCCTAGCATAAGCGAATAAAAGTCATATTAATTTTTTACCACACATTTGGCTTATCTCCTGTACTCTCTTTAATACAAGCTCTATTCTCATTATGTCTTTAATATTAGGCAAGGGTCTTATCACACTCCACCAAAGAATGTATGCTGCAAAACACTTCCAGGACAGGGGTATTAATGAAATCTTGCATCATGCTCATTTCTTTTAAAACTAAGAATGTTTCCTTATTTTCTACAGCATCAGTTACAAACTTTTACCTGACTTTCAAGCTCATTCTAATGTTATCTTATGATAACTATCAACCCTGATTTCTTACTACCCCGACTTTTTGTATGCAAATAGCAAGAGATTCTACTCAAGCTGTCTTAAAATTACTAAATGTATAAACTCACAAAGTAGTTTAGGTAGGGATGTACTTAGAATAAGTATATCCAGAGACCCACAGATATACCCATAGTATATCCAGAGAACCACAGTATAATAAATGACCCCAGCTCTTTCTCTCATCCACAATGCTGGCCTCACCCTAAGCCTAGTTGCTCATAAGAGAGTAGGATGGCCTCATGCTTCTGTATTCATCTTTCCCTGAAATGGCCAAGATCCCTGTCTCTCTTCAATGACCAAGCAAGAAGTTTAAGATTGCCATGACTTGTTCAAATTATCAACTGGAATAAAATCGATATTGCGGACTCAACCACAATGTCTATTAAAGGTGCTAAAATCAGTTGCAACAATAATTTCATGTTGATTGATCAATGATTTAAAAAAGTCTGTTTGCATTGCAAATTTATAAAGTAGAAAAGAATCAACTAAGAGTTTTCAAGCTCCTGGGATTGGTAAATCATGATTTGGGTCCCTTTATGTGTTATATGAAATATTAGATGACTATTCTGGGAGATAAAAAGATGTAGGGTTTAGTCCTAGCTTTACCATTCACCAGTAGTGTGAGCTTGATAAAGTTACTTACATTCACTTACTCTCAGTTTCCTGAGTTACAAAATGAGAGTGCATACAGAACATATTTAATAAGGCGATTTTTATATTAAGTGAAAAAAATACATATGAAGTCCTTAGTCCAGTGTGGGGTTCATCGTCAGCTCATACTAAGTCTTAGTTTACATTTTCAAAATAAATAAATTACAGCAAATTAAGGCAAGTTTTATAGAAATATGAATGTGTTCTGAATTAACTAGAAATCTAAGGAATAAAAGTATTATTAAATTGATACAAGGTTATAAAGTAAGTCAGTTAAAAAGGAGTTTCTTGATGAAAAACATTGAGAAATCTAATCTAATAAATGTAAAAGAATTATTTACATGTGTTTGTTTAAAACTGGTGATTCTTATTATAATGAAAAGTTGTATAGTCGTAGGAATTCAAGTGTTTACTTTGCAATTGATTTAGCACGGAGTTTTTATTCACAGGTAATTCAGAAAAAGACGTCAGATCAGCACTATTTAAATTATTCATGTATTCTATAATACGTGTCTAAATTCACACAGTTCTACCTTGCTGTTAGGTTTGCAATTTAAGTCTACAATTAGGTCTACAATTTAGACTCAGTCAACCTTAAGCATTGATCAAAAAGAATGACTCTGTTTTTCACAGTTTCCCAGCAATCCACATCTAGGGTGCATTACTTGAAACTGTGATTTTGTTCATCTTTAAAGCATTTCTACTGTCCTCCCTGCTTGAACTTATCCAGTTCAATTGCATTTCAAAAGCTCCTCTCTCTTGCCATCTGCTCCTTATAAATCTCCAGCCCAGCAGTGTTTCATTAAACATTTCCTCAGTGCTGGCAAAGACACCGTTGATGGGAATCTTGTCCTCTGTTTATACATACAGTAGCCCCACTTATCCGCGGTTTCATTTTCTATAGTTTCAGTTACCCACAGTCAACTGTTTTGACTGAAAATATTTTGAGGGGGAGGGAGGACCACATTCACATAACTTTTATTATGACATATTGTTATAATTGTTCCATTTTATTATTGGTTATCGTTCATCTCTCTGTTCCTAATTTATAAACTAAACTTTATTATAGGTTTGTATGATAGGAAAACACATAGTATATATATATATATATATATATATATATATGCACATATATGAAACCATGGGTAGTACTAAACTATATATATACACACATAGTGTATATATACACATACATACACACATAGTTTAGTACTACCCATGATTTCAGACACTGGGGGTCTTGGAACATATCTCCTGCAGATAAGAGGGGACTACTGTATTTGTTAGAGCTCATAGGTGATGCTGCCCAAGTAGATTGATTCAAAGTCTACAGATATTTCACTTTTAAAGTTGTTTTAAGAGGTCTGACATTACAACCACTTCATAGACTTTTACTGTAGTCTCCAGTGACATATCCCTTTAAAGTCATTTCTCCCTAAAGGAAAAGTGACCCTCTCTTTCCACCTCTGTGTGTGGATCCAAAAGCTTGGATGGTGTGTGTGACATCTATGGAGCACACTAGTCCATAATGTCTGTATTGTACTGTGACTTGGAAGAGTTTTACCTTTTTAGACAAATATATTAAGAAGATAGAAATAAAGACCTATCAGGTCTTCTAATATTGCCTTTGGGCTGTTAGTTAATCTTCCTATGCTAAATTCCCTCACATTTGTAAAATGAAGGAGAATATACAGTTTTAATAAAACCAACATTGCAGGGGTCATTAGTGATAATTTATCTTAAATCCTTTGTTTTATAGATAGAAAAAAACTGAAGCCCACAACTGCTTGCTCAACATCACACTTTAATATTATTGTCACAGCTATGACAATGTGTTGCTCCAGCAATCAAAGTCAGGAAAAGTCTTTGTATCAAAGCATTCTGAAATAACATGATTGTGAAGACAGAGAAGAATATAGCTAATTTATCTCCCACAGTGGATGACAATAACAAAGGAAATATAATGTTTTTCCTTTTTGGAAATTGACAAAAGACAAGAATGATAAAATTGCCAATAACACTTAAGGACATGAGAAAAACAAAATTAAAATAAAAATAGCGTAACTATGATTTTGATTATATAAATATAATTGAAATAGAAATAAAAATATTTAAAACTAAAATTACTGTCATTAGTTTTGCTTTCTGGCAAGGGTAAAGGGGATGTGGTCATGGGGAGCACATATTGTTATATTCTCTGTGTAAATCTGGCTATATCTTACAGACTAGTATGAGATGAGGGTGAAACTCAGACTAGATAGTGAATTATTTATCAGATTCATTGAGGCTTTAGAAATATGAAGGAGAGCAGAAAGCTATATTGTTCCATATAGTAATACATGGGGAAATTTCTGGAAAATGTGAGAAAGAAAAAAGAGAAGAGTGAGAGAGGATAAAGAAACATGGGGGAAGTCCAAAGGCTGAACCTAATTTTAAGTTGTCTGTATTTCTTCTATATGAACATCTGCTATGTCCGCAAATATCAGTAAAGTAGGCTCCAGATCAAATGTACATGAGTGGCTATTGGTGAAAATGGGAAAATGACTGACTGCCACACCTGAGTGGAAGAGCAGAGAAAAAAAAAAAAAAGAGGACAGTCTCCAAAGGCAAGATATCAGAGAATTTGCAGAATAGCACAAGGATAACTGGTAAAAGAAACTGGAATAAAAAAAAAAAAGAAGAAGAAAAAAGAAAGTAGTCTAACTCTTTGGGCTATGTTTACCTAGTTTAACCCTTTTCGTGTGTGTTATTTTTTATTTTCCTTTTTTCAGTTTCATACCATGCATTGAAGTGTACCAGTGTAGATTCAGTGGATTGGCTCTGTGTGCTCTGCCCTCTCTATACACACTTCCTTTAATCCTGTCTTCTACTGATTGTTGTTATTATTCTTGCTGCAAATACACAACCACATCATTTTAAATCTATTTCCACATGCATTTTTCAAAAGTATGAAAATTTTATTTACAGAATCATACTGTACCATGTGCACACCCATAAAATCATAAAATCAATGTATTTTATTAATATTATATAACATTCAGGCCAATTCAAGATTTTTGAATTCTCTTTTTAAAAATTGCCCTTTGGAATTAGAATTCAAACAAAGATTACTAATTGTATTTGATTTTAGTCTCTTTCAATCAAGAACAGTTTTACCCATAATTTTTCTTTCATTTTTCTTCGTATTTTTGAATTGTTGATTCAAATTTGTTGCTTGTTTTATAAAATGGTATATATTCTAAATATTATTATAAATGATTGCTTATTCTTATCAATTTTTCTGTTTCTTTAGTCTGTATTTATTGTAAATTGGATGTTAGCTTTTCACTGATTAGATTCAAGTTCAACTTCTTGGCAAGAATACTTAACAAAATGATATATAATTCTATATGAATACTTGATGCTGTGTCACATCAGGAGGCACCTAATGTCTGGTGGTATCCCTAGTCATTGTATTCCAGAGATGGGATCAAGGAAAGCTCTTAAAAAAGTTACAAACCTATTTCTTTGATCCTTTGCCTTTCACCATTCTTCCTTCTTTCTTTTGGGAATGCTGGCCTGATATCTGAAGGTTCAGCATCCTTCTCCTGTAAGGACAAAATCCACCAAAGAAGATGCTAAAAATGTCCCGGATACAATATGACTCTGTGAAGGCATATGCAATCCAGAGCCAGTCAAATTCTTGATTGTTGCTGTATGAAATAACAAGATTTATATATCTAACAAATAATATTAGCTTACTTTTTTTTAATTTTATTTTGTTTTAACTTCCTGGCTACATATGCAGGACGTGCAGTTTTGTTACATAGGTAAACATGTGCCATGGTGGTTTGCTGCACCTACCAACCAGCTTAATTGTTAAGCTGATATTATTTGACATTTCTGACATTTGAAAATAAATGCAGTACTGCTTTACTCTTTTTTCACATTTCCCCTCAGCAGCACTGGTGCTTGCGGCACCAGTAAAGCCACCCTGTTGTGTGAAGCCAGCATCTGTTCTGATTAATAACCACATCATACTGGGGTCTTCAATATCAAGATTTCAAACCCATCTCTTGAGTGTCAATTTCTTAACTTTAAAAATATGAATATTAACAATACCTACTTCATGGTTTGTGTGTGGGCTTTTTTTGGTGAGAACTACACAAAATAATTTAGGTAATGTAGATAAACCTTAGCATCCAGTATACAGTAAGTAGTTCAATAGTAATAGCTATTACTCTCCTCCCATTATTCCTCCAGAACATTGAAACTAGCCATCAGGGCGAGGTAGTAACTGATATTTATTATCACCCAGGAACCTCAGAATCATTTTCCTTGTCACTTATTAGTGAGTAATCACCTGAGGTTCTCTCTTGTGAAGATATTATTACCTGAAATTTTATATAGATACCATTTGTTCATGAAAAGAAAAGCAATTGTAATGCAGAAGCAGAGACTAAAAGAATAGTAAATTATGTGTTAATATCAAGATAGAAATCCAAAAAAATGTAGAAAAGGGGAGTTATTACAGGAGGCCCAATAAATATGTGTAACCAACAGCTAAGTCCATATTTGTTCACTACAAAGTTGAGTATTAAAAGCAAGAACCAATTAAACATGCAGGGCAGCTTTGGCAGAATTAGAGCTCACAGCTGATAATTACGAATGTATTAACATGATGAAAAAAAATTTAAGAAAAAGTGTTTTTCTGAGCCACATCAACTGAAAGCTGATAAATTGATAAACAAAATTTGATTTACCTAAAAGACTCCAACTTGACCAAGAAAGAATAAATCTAGGTTAAATTGAAATTGGAAACAAACAATTTAAGGGACACAAATATCCCTCCTGGTTCAGGGAATCACAAGAAAGGGGAAGTTTTCAGACCTTGAAGGTGTTGGAACAGTTATAAATGAACACAAAGGGCATAATCACTTGACAAATGAGATCATCCAATACATCATAAAGTATAAAAAACTTGTAATAGAGACCTGACTTCTACCATGATGGAATGAGGACATAAAAAAAAAAATCACTTCTAAAAAATTAAGTATAAAGCTGAAAGAAATGTTCAAAGCAACTATTTTGTACTCTGGAATTTTACCAAGGGTATGCAACAAAGTTTTTATTCATAAAACATCACTAAACTTTGTATAAGAAAAATAAAGGTCTGTGGCATTCCTGTCCGGGACTGCTTCCTTTTCCCTCAACCCGCATCCTGAACTCTGTCGTCATGGTACTTCCACCAAGGCGTGGCAAGCTGTGAAAACTAGTTTCTTTGTTGCTGCTGGTGGTGAAGACACTTCATTTGTTGTGTTGTTAGCCTAAGCATCTATTTCAGCACCAAGGAAACAGAAAGGGTCAGCAGACTAACTGGGGATTTAACAGAGAGTTCCAGGGGGTGAGACAGTTATAGAGGGCTCAATAAGCTCACTATATACTTTGTGCGTGTGTGGAGTGACCAGAACGCACACACACTATCCACTTAAAACTGCTCCATGGGACTGGTGGGAAGAGATAACTCTCAAAAGAGTCACAAGACAGCCTGGCAGAATGGAAAAGGTGTGGCAAATTTGAAAATAACTTAAAGTTTGAATATACTCTTCAGCCCACACATAAATCCATTGACAGAGGGTTGAAGCTTTACTGGCTTTAAGTATTTGAGAAAAAAAACTGACCCATCTTTGGATGACCTCTAAGCTATGCCAACACAGGAACCAAGGCTTAAAAATAAAACCAAACAAAAAATTGAGCAGAAATCAGCAGCCATGCATTATTGGATTACATTATAAACTTGCCTAAATTACACAGATGTAGTCTAGGCAAATTTAGAAAGAAACAACAAATCAGGTTGAAGGTTGTTAAGAGCCAAATTCAGAGTTGCTGATATATTATCAAAAATTAGGAGACATGGAAATATACAAGAAAATACTATCCAAATTCAAAGGAAAAAGCAGTAAATAGAAACTTCTGATTGTCCCCAGATGTTAGATTAGGCAAAGACTTCAGAATAGCTATTATAAATAGGTTGAAATCACATTAGGAACCATGCTTAAGGAAAAGATATATGGTAATGGGGATGTAATAAATAGATAATCTCAAAAATAAGGTTTTATTTAAAAGGATCAAGCAAAAATTCTGGAGTTGGAAAGTACAGTAAATGAAATACAAAACTCATGTGAGGGGCTCAAAAGAATATTTGAGAAGGCAGAAGAAAGAATAAGTGAACTTGAAATTAGAGCAATAGAAATTATCCAACCTGAGGAACAGAGAAAAAAAAAATTAAGGAAAGTCAACAGGCCAGGGGCGGTGGCTCACGCCTGTAATCCCAGCACTTTGGGAGGCTGAGGTGGGTGGATCATGAGGTCAGGAGATCAAGACCATCCTGGCTAACACGGTGAAACCCCGTCTCTACTAACAATACAAAAAATTAGCTGGGCGTGGTGGTGGGCACCTGTAGTCCCAGCTACTCAGGAGGCTGAGTCAGGAGAATGGCGTGAACCCAGGAGGCAGAGCTTGCAGTGAGCCGAGATCGCGCCACTGCACTCCAGCCTGGGCAACAGTGCAAGACTCCATCTCAGAAAAAAAAAAAAAAAAAAAAAAGAAAAGTCAACAAAAAACCTGTGGGAAAATATCAACTGTATCAAGAAATGAGTAATAACGAGTTCTGGGAGGAAAGGAAATGTTGAAATGCATAGAAAAATATTTGAAGAAGTAATAGCTGAAAATGTCCCAAAATTGATTTGAAACCAGAAATTTATTTAACAATAAACGCAAACACTTCAACAAATTATAAGTTGAATAAAGGCATATTCACAACTAGACACATAGGTAAACTATTGAGAGATTAAGACCAAAAGAAAATTTTGAAAATAGCAGAAGAAAAATCTCAAGATATAAAGGATAACTTCTGTCAGAAACTAGGGAGGTCAGAGACAGTGGAATGACAATTTCAAGTGCTGAAAACAGATATAAAAACAAGATTGTCTACCAAGAATGATGGTAAACTTATGGCAAACATTCAAAAATGGAAGTCAAATAGAAACTTTTCTTTACAAAGACCAAGAGAATGTGTTCTTACCAGAAGAGCCTTATAGAAAGTTCTAACAGAAATCATCAGGCTGGGAAGAAGTGATATCAGATGCTAACTCAAATCTACAAGAAGAAATGACGGATACTGTAAAAAGAAATAGGTGGTTAAAAATATATTAAAATACTATATATTCTCATTTCTTCTCTTAACTTCTTTACAAGATGTGACCCCATAAAGCAATGATGATAACATGATATTGTTGGATTTGTAACATACATGGATGTAATATGTATGACAATGATAGTACAAAGGAATAAAGGAGGAAGGAATCAATAAGAAGAAAAATACAGACAGAAGAAATAAGGAAGAATGGAAGGAAAAAGGAGAGATGAAAGAAAAGCAACAAAAATATAGGCAGGAAAAAATCGATAACATGTAAATATTCAAGAACCATATGTAAAATATCAGCATATCAAATTTAACAAATGTTTGTTTTTGTTGTTTGTGTTAATGATGATTCAGCTAAGAAAACTAATTAATGTAAAAACACCATGTAATGGCTTGAAGAAAAACAAAAATTTGATAATCATTTCAATAGATCCTAAAAACATATTTGACAAAATTTCACACTTATTCTTAATACAGACTGCTAGAAAATTTGAAATAGAAAGTTATTTTCTTGAGTTGTTAAGCATATTACAAAAACCAAAAATGACAACAATGTAAACTAAATTAGACATAAATTTACTGTTGAAACTTCAGGGGCATTGCCATTTCAGTTGGCAAAAAAAATGAGATATTCACTATCATCTCTGTTTTTTTCATATTGTTTTGGAAGTTCTACCGGTACAGCAAGATAAGAAAAAAAACTGATGTGGGAGTATAAAAATTGGAAGAAATAAAACTGTTAGTATATTATAATCTGCTTTTGAATTTTTACTAAGAAAATCCAAGAAAATATGTAGTCAAAAAACTACAGCTAATAAATAGTTTGATGAAATTGATGGTAACATAATGAGACTGCAAAATTAATACTATTCTTACACATGTACGACAAATAAAATGTTATATTAAAATATTCGTAAGAGCATTAAAATATGAAGTATATTTGGAACAAATATAGAAGAATGCGAAAGTCAAAAAAAAAAGATTATAAATATTTACTTAAGGTCCTAGTAGAAGCTTGAATATTTAGAGATATGTCTGCCTGTGTGTAGACTGAAAGCCTCAATATAATACCAATGGGAAATGTTTCCAAATTATTCTGTAAATTTAATATAAGTCAATCAAAATGCCAGTAGTTGTTTTATGGAACATGACAATTTCATCAAATGTTCTTAGGAAATATAAGATAAAAATATACAAAACAATTTTGAAGAAAAAAATTATCTTGGGATGTGCACAAGCAGGCATTAAGGTTTATGATAAAACTACAGTAATTCGGCATATATTCATATGGCAGAGATGTACAAATATTTCAATGGAACAGTGTCTAAAAGCAGACCCACACATGATTTGAAAATCTATACATGGAAGAAGTCGTATTACTTATCAGTAGGGAACTTATAGATGCTTCTGTAAAACTAATGATGGGTTATTCATTTGAGAACAAAAAAAAATAATTTCCACTTCAATTCTTATGTAAAATGAAATCCCAAAAAACAAAACTGTAAATCATCTGAAAAAGAATATAAAATATATTTTTTCTTAGAAAATATTCAATGTATAATTGTTTTTAAAAATGGTACATGAATGACAGCATTAATAATGTAACAAGGCAAGTACCAGTCTGAGAGAAGATATTTTCGTTGAATATAACTGAGAATTCAATACACAAAACATACACAAAGCAGTTAGATATCAAGAAAATGTTAACCAAATAGAAAATGAATTAAAATATATAAACAATTCACATATAGGAAAATCTAGTGTCAGCAAATAAATAACGTTGAAACGTATTATCTAGAGAAAGTAAAGTTTTAAGAAAAATAAGTTAATATTAAACATATACCTATTGTCCAAAATAAATATAATTTCAGGTAGTAAGTATGGAGTGGATGTGGGAAAATGAGAAACCTTATATTCTGCTAATGTAAAAATCAATTGGCCTTGTTATTGTCAAAAGCCATTCAAAATAATTTTTTCTTTTAGCATGTTTATTATGGGCATTTTCATACGCACAAAATTAGAGAGAATAATATAATTAACTTCCGTGTACACATTATTCAACTTCAACAGTTACCAACATTTTGCCAAATCATATCATCTACCCACTCCCACTGCTCCTCTGATGCACCCCCCTCAGTTTTTGTTTGTTTATTTGCTGGATTATTTTAAAGACAATCCAACACATTTTGTTATTTTATCTGAAATTCTTTTCTATACATGTCTTACTGACATGGACATTTTTATACATACCCCTGACATTATGACCCACTCAAAAATGAATAGCCATTTGTTACTATTATATAGTTCCAAGGCCATATTTTTAAAAATTTGACAATGTTGTTGTAGATTTGTTTAAATTAAATCCAAAGTCTAAATATTTCATTCAGTGCATATGTCTCCTAGAGTTTTAAAACTGATTTCTCTTTTTCATCTTTTTTATCTCTTTGTATTTGATACGTTGGAAAAACTGGGCATTTGTCCTGTATACAGAATGTCCCACATTTTGATATGGCTGAAGGCTTTCTTATGATGACTTAACTTGTTCCCCTGCCCCCCAGCATTCTTATGCACTAATAGATCTTGCAGCTTGTTTCAGTTCAGTTTCAACATTTTAGGCATGAATACTTCAGAGATGGTATGGCGTCCTACTATTGCCTTACATCATAAGGAACATAATATCTGTTTATCCCAATTCTAGTGATACTAAGTTTGATCACAGGTTTTAGGTGTGAATAGCCATTTTTCATTATTTGGCATTGTTGAATATGTACAAATTCTGTTACCTAAACAAGTTCAATATTCTTGATATTTGCCTTAAAGAAATTCTAGACAATAGCATAAGAAAATATGTGGAAGCAAGTTCATTGAAGTCCTATGCTGGAACTACATATCCTCTGACCCTTCATTTCTACTTTCCACTGTCTTCAGCCTGCCATGTCCCTGGAGGCTAAACTCTATAGAAGGTACCAATGCGATCTTTGCCTTTGGCTTGTGGTTGTGTTTGTCTAAAGAGGAGCACAGCCAAGGGATCTGAGGGGGCCAAGAGAGAAGTATTAGGGTGTCTACCTCCCACCTCTGCCCCATTTCCTTTTTGCTAAGTTGCCTCCTCTACTTAAGGTCACAGCTAAGGCCGCCCTGTCCATGAGCTGTTTCTACTTTGTTTCTGGTTACTACTTCCTTCTCTTTCTCCCTCAGATTAAGTTTGATAATTAGGCAGAAAATTTTGAAATAACCCTTAAGGTTTTTCTACATCCTGGCCATTTCTTTGTAAATAATCCTTTTATCAAAGTCTTTCTCAAATGATTGAGTTTGAGCACACCATCTGTTTCTTGCCAGAATTTAGACAAAGTTTTTAATAATAAAATATTTGGTAAAATTTAAATGTTTATTCAAGTATTCATTTACTTCTTGAGTAAAATGTTTATTGAATGCCACATACCCTTCTAAGCACTGCCAATACATTAATGAACAAAATAAAGTTGATGTTTTCAATGAACATATGTTCTAGATGTAAGCAAATAAATATCTCTCTGGATATAAGTTCATCAACAGGAAAAGTGAGTTTGGTATATTCATAGCAATTAAAATACATGAATAAAAGTTATATATCAACAAACATAACAATGAATGCAATAGTAAGTTTTAGAAAGATAAAAATAGTGCTGACTATTTAAAGTTAAAAACACAAAACTCAGTTAAAAACTCACATACAACTGTTAGAACTAATAAACAAATTGAGAAGCATGGTAGGACACCAAATCAAGATACCAAAATCAGTAGTGTTTCTATACACTAACAATGAACTACTTGAAAAAGATGTCAAGAAAACAATCCCATTTACAATTTCTACAAAAATAAAATACCTAGGAATAAATGTAATTAAGGAGGTTAAAGGTCTTTCCACCGAAAATTATAAAATGTTGATTAAATAAATTGAAAATACAAATAAATTGAAGGATACCCTCTGTATGGATTGAAATAATTAATATTTTAAAATTCTCCTAATACTCAAAGCAATCTATAGACTCAACAAAATACTTATCAAAATACTTATAACATTCTTCACAGAAATAGAAAATACAATCCTAAAATTCACATGGAACCACAAAATAACCCAAATAGCCAAGACAATTTTGGCAAAAAGAATAACTGAATATTACAGTACTTGACTTCAAAATAGATTACAAAGCTATAGTAACCCAAACAACATCGTACTGACATAAAAACAGACATATACACCAATTGAACAGAGTAGAGAGCCCAGCAATAAATCCACATGTTTAGAGCCCATTTATTTTGACAAAGACATCAAGAACACACAATGGTAATTGCCTTTAAAAGATAATACTTAAAAATAATTCCCGCTATATTCTAAGACTGTAGTTGACCTAACGGATTCTGCCTCCACTGGTTACAGTCCTGATTTCCCTATCCTAGCATGCCCCTATTGTTCATTCAATCATTAGAATCCCACCTGGACAAGCATCAACCCTGTCCCTCTCTAGGTTATTTAAATTTTTCTTCTATTAAATTTGTTTAGTTTTGCTCAAGTCTAGATCTTTCTATAATGATGTAGTACTGGTCAAATGACAGATGATGCTGTTAGTGTTATTTGTCAGCTGTCTTGTACAAAAATGTGTTTCAAATAAAGATGATGCTCTAAAAAAATCTCAGGATTTATCCAAGTTTAGAAGTAAAATTACTAGACAGCTCTCAGACTCAGGCTTGGTGCACAAGCATGTAAGCCATTTAGCGAATTTTTTTATCTTGTCATTGGCCAAAAGATATTGGTTTGGAAGACAGTCATAATGGTTGAGGTATTTACTAGCAAAATACTAACAACTTAGGCATTCACTCTAATAACCACTTTCAATGGTATGCCTGTCAATCGTTAAATTTAAATCATCCATTGAAAAAAACCCACTAATTCAACAGGGTATATTATCAGATCTAAGAAAACTAGGGTTAAATATGGGAATAATTTCAACTTTTTACCTTAATAAGAAGTAGACATGAGATCAATTCACTAAACACATTAAATAGAAAATATTCACTTTTAAAGTTATACTAATGAGTTATTTTTGGAGGGATAAATAATCCAGACTGGGATTTGCTTTATAAAGACTAGAGAATTACTTACAGAAATGTTGAAAATGCTGAGCTCTAAATAAGCTGAAAGAAACAATTGAGCACATGTCTTAACCAGATGCCTACCTTGATTATTTTTATGAACATCTATTCTGCTGCCCAGTGTTTATATGCAGTTTTATTTTACATATGTGCACAAGAGAGAAAGAGAGATGAGAGAAAGTTCAGCATTAACCAAATTTAGCATTACCTTAGGGCATAACATATTCACCAGTTCAGTCACAAATTGTTCCAGAGAAAACTGGATGAAATCACTGTAACTGTTAAGCATGCCATTTTGTATTGAGAACTAATATGAAAGATGATTAAGTCCATGAGAATGTTATCCATAATTTCTGAAAAAATGTACTGTAAAAAAAGGAGAAGCAAAACAAAAACAAAATTGTCACCACCACGACCAAGAAAAACAAAAATCAGGTTAAAGGGAGATATGTAGTTCACTTAAAAATCAAAATGCAGAATATCTGCATTGTAAGTCTAAGCTGAATGTGAACACCTTTCTACAAGATGCACTCCTCTAGGATAAAGTGACCAGACAATATTACTTGGCATAGTCTGTCTTCATAAACTGTAAAATCCATGAGTCATGTCAATCATGAAATTACTGAATCAGCCACCTGTATTGATTATTAATATGGCCAGGGACAGCTTTACTCACCTTCTCTGCTGTAGCATAAACCATTTGGTCAGAAGCAGACCATCTTTGTCAAAAGTGAGTTTCCAACAGTGCAATTCTTTACTGAGAAGCAGGTGCCAAAACCATGCTGATGTGAAAATGACAAATGACCTTGCCAAATCCATCACAGACTTTACTGAGTTCTTGGCACCATTAAAACATCTCCTGATGGATGACTCACAAGTTCTGTTAGATCATCAGCAAAATTCTTTCTTCTCAGAGATGTAGCAGCTAATTGTACTTTTTGCACCTTAGTAGAAATAGAAGTTTGATAAACAGGTGAATATAACTAAGTGAAGGCTTGCCTCTGTGCTATGGGACATGGACATGGTTTTTTCTAAAACTTGCTTTTGAAGGATAACATATACAAACACAAGTGTAGGCATTGTATATGTGGTTTATTATATTTTCTCCAAATGAACACATCCTTGTAATTAGCAGTTGGAGTTTAAAAACACAACAGAAGAATACTAGCAACCTCCAAAGCATCCTCTTGCTCCTCTCTAATCATTATCTGTACAATCCTGTATAGCACGGTGAGCTTTACCTGTGTTGATACATTGTATAAATGGAATTATACAGCATAAGCTCCCATGTGTGCCTTCTTTCCTTCAACATTACCACATCTGTGCTTTCTATACCTCTTATTCAGGTACATTTTAATAGAAGTGATTTTTTTTCCTCTTTTGAATTTTGTTAAATATTTTCCAAACTCAGGTTATGTTGATCTTGCAACCTCCAAAGTAAAATGTAAGCAAGAGATGTAGACATCAAAAATCATTTTGAGGAATTTGGTGGCAAATAAACTCATGAAAGTGATTTCACTTTCTTGGGTCAAATAAGAAGTCGTTGGAGTAAAGGTGCAACTGAATAGAAATGCAGTTGGTAAAAATGCTGAAAACTGCCCACTAAATCTAATACACTAAATCTGTACACTTAAAAAGTGACTAAAGAGTCTAACAAACTAAATAATAATAATAATTGATAATTTTAATGGCTTGATACAAAGATCGTTGAACTCTAGAGTGAAACATTTTGTACTTGGAAGCACTTCAAAATACTAAACTACTTCTCATTAATTTCCACAAATAGTAAAAAAAATACTTTTTTTGCAGGTGAATAAATAAATATTAAAATATTACAACCTCATATAATCCCTAAGTAAAGAATAAAACTCAAACATCTGACCTATTTATCTCCAAAAGTATACTGTGAGACCAAGGTTATTATTATTCAGTTCAGCCAAATGGTAAGGGAAGAAAAGAGAAAAAAGAATGGACTCAGAATCTCCTGTCAAATAAATACATGATTAAACACATTTATGTAACTTTATACTTACCATCAGTTGTGTTCTTTCTTTCAGCAAACTTGCCTCCATTTTTCAAATTTTAAATTCTAATTGTTACTGGCAAGTTTCTGACTTAGTAGTGTAAATAAATAATTTGTCTTAAATTTCAAGTTGTCACCACATTTTGGACAATATTAATATTAGTAAAATGATTTTCAGGATTCAATGAAGGTTTTTATTCATTTCTTCATTCTTTTGGCATTCACTTGATATTATTGATGAACTAGTACTTTTAAGTCACTGTGTTAGACATGGTGTGTATTAAAAAATAAATCCTACTCTTAAAATGTCTATCTTTGGCCAGGTGCTATGGCTCTCGCCTGTGGTCCCGGCACTTCAGGAGGCCAAGGCAGGCGGATCACCTCAGGTCAGGAGTTTAAGACCAGCCTGGCCAATGTGGTGAAACCCCATCTCTACTAAAAATACAGAAATTAGCCAGGCATGGTGGCGGCACCTGTAATCCAAGCTACTCAGGAGGCTGAGACAGGAGAATCACTTGAACCTGGGAGGTGGAGGTTGCAGTTAGCCGAGGTCGTGCCACTGCACTCTGGCCTGGGTGACAGAGTGAGACTCCATCTCAAAAAAATAAAAATAAACAGGCTATCTTTTAATTTCTTTTCTTCCTTCTATCCCTCCTTTGTACCTTCCTTTTTTTTTTTTTTTAACTCTCTTCTTTGTTTCTTCCTTCCTTTCCTTCTAGAAAAGTTTAGTCCAAAAGCCATTATAGTGAGCCAAACAAGGTGGAAATTAATGTGGCGAAGAAAGAGTAGGGGTGAAGCTAAGGGTATTGGAGTTCAAGGAGAGCTGACAATGTGGGAGTGGCGGAGGCAGCACTGATAACAAAAGATGAGTTATGGGCATATGTAAAAAGTATATCAGCTAAAAGAAGTTTGTTACTGTTCAAAAAAGGAGAACTGCATTTAGAGATGGAAGAAAACTAGAATAAATACTACAGTGGTAGATTTCACTTGGAAATATGGGTAAAAACACTTGATTTTCAACATGTATATGAAGAAACATAAATGAAATATAGATATAAATAGGTGTCCACTGAGATGGCCTGAAGCAGTGACCCACTACTTTCTCAAAGCTTAGATCTTCATTTCCGAATATGTTCTTCATGAAAAAAGTACAGAGCTTCCTATAAAAATTGCTTATTAAAAGGCCAGGGCAGGAAATTAGAATTACTCTGGAGTGTATCCTTGTGTAAATAGGAATGAAGAACTCAAAACTGATGTGATATGTCACAAGGATTCAGAAGCCAGTTTGAAGAAGTTTCTTGCTGCCAAATTGGGACAATTTATAATATTAAAATAAATAATTAAACTAGAAGATTGTAAGCCATTGAATAAAACAGGGATTCATGAATCCACAAAGATATAAATAAACAAATGGAAAAGAGAGAAATTGTTCCTTTATAGTAGAGTTGAAACTCATGTAAGTACAATTAAATACAAAGTTATAAAATCACCATTTGTCAACCCATAGTCATATTAATTTTAGCCAACAAATATCAATGGATAGTAAAAAGTAGTGTGTAAAAGATTGAGGAAAATGACATATATGTATAATCTCAAAATATCTCCCTAGAAAATATTAATTACAAAGTAAAAAATGAAGTATACCTCTGGAGTGGAAGAAGATAGCAAATGCCACCTTAATTTTGTGATCAAAGTTAGTATCACCAATAGTGGGACAAATTGACATTATGTACCATTGGACAGGATTCATCAAGAAGAACATAGCGTCACTTCTACAGTTTTCTTGCAGTGTATAACCTAATTCTAAGTTGAGTGATATGGTTTGACTCTGTGTTCCCATCCAAATCTCATTTTGTAGCTTCCGTAATTCCCACATGTTGTGGGAAGGACCCGGTGGGAGATAACTGAATCATGGGGCAGGTCTTTCCCATGCTCTTCTCATGATAGTGAATAAGTGTCATGAGATCTGACAGTTTTAAAAATGGGAGTTTCCCTGCACAAGCTCTCTTTTTTTGCCTGCTGCCATCCATGTAAGATGTGACTTACTCCTCCTTGCCTTCTGCCATGATTGTGAGGCCTCCCCAGCCATGTGAAGCTATAAGTCCATTAAACCTCTTTTTCTTCCAAGTCTTGGGTATGTCTTTATCAGCAGTGTGAAAGCAAACTAATACGTTGAGGAAATAATAGATAGACAGAAATTTGAGGAAAATTCTGAGAAATAACTGGGCTATAACCATCTTTGTAAAAGCCAAGCTCTTAAACATCAAAGAAATATTGAAGAACTATTTCAAACTGAGGGAAATGAAAGCAATATGAGAAATGCAACATGTGATATGCAACTGGATCTTATGACTATAAAAGACATTAGTAGAATTGGAGAAACTTGAACACGGTCTGTGGATTTGATAGTGCTAACATTTCAATGTTAATTTCTTCACTTGAGTGGCAAAGCTGGGGTTATGCTGGAAAACGTCCTTGTTTATAGAAAATACACTGCAATTTACCTACAAATACTTTAAAGGAGGGAAAGATTTTAGAACTATAGTTGCAGCTTTCCTATGTGAGTTTGGAATTATTTCAAATTAAAATAATAGAAACAAGGAGGAAGGATTACTATTACATGGGTATAGAGTTTCAGTTTTGTAAGATGAAAAAGTTCTATAGATGTGTCACACAACAATATCAACATACTTAACACTGCTAAACTATACAATTAAAAGTAGTTAAGACATCAGGATAATGCTGGCCTCATAAAATGAGTTAGGAAGAATTCCCTCTTTTTCTATTGATTGGAATAGTTTCAGAAGGAACGGTACCAGCTCCTCTTTGTACCTCTGATAGAATTTGGCTGTGAATCCATCTGGTCCTGGACTGTTTTTGGTTGGTAGGCTATTAATTATTGCCTCAATTTCAGAGCCTGTTATTAGTCAATTCAGAGATTCAACTTCTTCGTGGTTTAGTCTTGGGAAGGTGTATGTGTCCAGGAATTTATCCATTTCTTCTAGATTTTCTAGTTTATTTGGCTCAACATATGCAAATCAATAAACGTAATCCATCACTTAAACAGAACCACAATAAAAACCACATGGTTATCTCAATAGATGCAGAAAAGGCCTTCAACAAAATTCAACAGCCCTTCATGCTAAAAACTCTCAATGAACTAGGTATTGATGGAACATATCTCAAAATAATAAGAGCTATTTTTGACAAACCCACAGCCAGTATCATACTGAATGGGCAAAAACTGGAAGCATTCCCTTTGAAAAACAGCACAAGACAAGGATGACCTCTCTCACCAGTTCTATTCAACACAGTGTTGGAAGTTCTGGCCAGGGCAATCAGGCAAGATAAAGAAATAAAGGGTATTCAATTAGAAAAAGAGGAAGTCAAATTGTCCCTGTTTGCAGATGACATGATTGTGTACTTAGAAAACCCCATTGTCTCAGCCCAAAATCTCCTTAAGCTGATAAGCAACTTCAGCAAAGTCTCAGGATACAAAATCAATGTGCAAAAATCGCAAGTATTCCTATACACCAATAACAGACAAACAGAGAGCCAAAGCATGAGTGAACTCCCATTCACAACTGCTACAAAGAGAATAAAATACCTAGGAATCCAAGGTATTTTATAGATTCCTAGGTATATTATAGATTTATGCCCAAGGTAATTTATAGATTCAATGCCAACCCCATCAAGCTACCAATGACTTTCTTCACAGAATTGGACAAAACTACCTTATAGTTCATATGGAACCAAAAAAGAGCCCACATCACCAAGACAATCCTAAGCCAAAAGAAGAAAGCTGGAGGCATCATGCTACCTGACTTCAAACTATACTACAAGGCTACAGTAACCAAAACAGCATGGTGCTGGTACCAAAGCAGAGATATAGACCAATGGAACAGAACAGAGGCCTCACAAATAACACCACACATCTACAACCATCTGATCTTTGACAAACCTGACAAAAATAAGCAATGGGGAAAGGATTTCCTATTTAATAAATGGTGCTGGGAAAACTGGCTGGCCATAAGTAGAAAGCTGAAACTGGATCCCTTCCTTACACCTTATACAAAAATTAATTCAAGATGGATTAAAGACTTAAATATTAGACCTAAAACCATAAAACCCTAGAAGAAAACCAAGGCAATACCATTCAGGACATAGGCATGGGCAAAGACTTCATGACTAAAACACCAAAAGCAATGGCAACAAAAGCCAAAATTGACAAATAGGATCTAATTAAACTAAAGAGCCTCTGCACAGCGAAAGAAACTACCATCAGAGTGAACAGGCAACCTACAGAATGAGAGAAAATTTTTGAAATCTATCCATCTGACAAAGGGTTCATATCCAGAATCTACAAAGAACTTAAACAAATTTACAAGAAAAAATAAACAACGCCTTCAAAATGTGGGCAAAGGATATGAACAGACACTTCTCAAAGAAGTCATTTATGCAGCCAACAGACACATGAAAAAATGCTCATCATCACTGGTCATCAGAGAAACGCAAATCAAAACCACAGTGAGATACCATCTCATGTCAGTTAGAATGGCGATCATTAAAAAGTCAGGAAACGACAGATGCTGGAGAGGATGTGGAGAAATAGGAAAATGTTTACATTGGTGGTGGGAATGTAAATTAGTTCAACCATGTGAAAGACAGTGTGGCGATTCCTCAAGGACCTAGAAGTAGAAATACCATTTGACCCAGTGGTCCTATTACTGGGTATATACCCAAAGGATTATAAATCATGCTACTATAAAGACACATGCACACGTATGTTCATTGTAGCACTATTCACAATAGCAAAGACTTGGAACCAACCCAAATGTCCATCAATGGTAGACTGGATTAAGAAAATGTGGCACATATACACCATGGAATACTATACAGTCATAAAAAAGGATGAGTTCATGTTCTTTGCAGAGACATGGATGAAGTTGGAAACCATCATTGTCAGCAAACTATCACAAGGACAGAAAACCAAAAACCACATGTTCTCATTCACAGGTGGGAATTGAACAATGAGAACACGTGGACACAGGGCAGGGCATATCACACACAGGGGCCTTTTGGAGAGTGGGGGGCTAGGGAAGGGAGAGCATTAGGAGAAACACCTAATGTAAATGAAGAGTTGATGGGTGCAGCAAACCAACATGGCACATGTATACCTATGTAACAAACCTGCAAGTTGTGCACATGTACACTAGAACTTAAAGTATAATAATAAAAAAAAGTGGTTAAAACAGGAAATTTAATGTTTTGTGTTTTTTTACCACCATAAAAAATGGGAAAAAATAGACAACAAAAAAAGAGAAGTATCATTTAGGAGACAAGTTCTCAATTTTGAGTAGTATAGTTTTTAGAAAGTACAGATGTCCAAATCACAGTACTGTAGATTATAATTCAATATGTCTAGATTAGAGTTTGAGATTTTTTTCACATATGGCCAGGGCTACAAAAACACTGATCACACTTTACCAGTTGCAAGTGAGTAACAACAACCATGATAGAATAGATAAAGCACTTGATCCAGTTCAGAGCATTCCACCTCCTAGTTGCCTTGGACAAATCACATTCAACACTCTCATCTTTAAAGCCCTCATCTCTAAAATGGGGATAAAAATTACTGCCTCATAATATTACTGAGCTGCTCACAGGATATGATAACGTAGATCAAAGCACTGGAGAAATATACGGCGATAGTATAATGGAAGAAATTGATGAGTAAATCTACTATATAAAAAGTCACATAATGTACTATAACCATACCATATTACTAAAATGGTTCTCTTTAATTAGATTTAAGTGCAGCAACACACTCCATCGAGCCATTCCACAGTCTCAGATGATACACCTGAGCGATTCTTGGCTTTGGAACCTAAATTGAGAAGCTAGCAAGAAAATGACTGAGATTTCCATGAGTGTGTGATCTAAATTAATCCCATTAGCAACCTTAAAACTGGTGACTTTCTTGATCTCAGTGGACCATCTGTTAGGACCTGTTGTGGTTTCTAACACTGGAGCAAAAACAAAAAAAGAAAAAAGATACTACATGGAATGATAAAAAAGATCTAATCTCTTACAATCTTTGCCCAAAATAGCTTCTACCAGGCTTCCTAGCAGTCAGATGTCTAGAAGCTGTGTCTAGAAGGTGGTTGTCCTCATGCTGTTGCTGAGCAGGCAGAGTTTTTGGAGACTAAGCTCATAGGTCTTAGAATCAGCAAGACTGGAGACCAAATTCCAGCCCAACTGGAAAACCCTGGACATCTTTCTTGTCTGGGAGTCAGGTTCATAATTTGTGAAAGGATGACAATGATTGTATGAACTTCATAAGATTAAATGAAAAAAGTTTATACTAAGTGCTTGATAAATGTTGGCAATTATGTTTTTTTAATAAATGATGATATTCAGCACAGTTCTCCACCTTTTCTGTAACAAGTATTCACATTTAAGATGGCACCTGAGATTAGAGGCCTAGAAACCAACATAAGTTACTAATTTGGCCTCAGGAAGTTACTAGATAGGTAACTATTGTAAAATTAAATAAATTAATAAGGCCACTTCAGCTCTAAGTACAGTTCAGATTTTCAGATAATACCAAAACAGCATTTCAAGAAGCACTGAATATACATATGAAGCACTTTGTTGAACCTGGGGAAGTGTGAGAAGGTTTGTAAAATATAAAAATATCATATCCGGAACCCAAATTATCTTCTTTCCTTCAGACTTATCTCAAAAAAACAGTAATTCTCACTTAATATTAAGATATTCTTTTATGAGAAGTGTGCTATATCACTTCCAATGTAAACTTAGAAAAAAAGAAGAGGAAAAACAGGAAAATGGTTTGGGGGCAACAGCATAAAAACCCTTCAGTACAGGGCAAAAAATCGTTGAAATACTATGTGGTCTCCTATCTCATACCAGAAGGCTCAAATTTCAAATGCTTATGCTGTGGATTAATACGTAATATTACTACTGTTCTCTTTCTTAAAAAAGTTTTTTCATTGCAAGATAAATTTCATTTTTTTAAACTTTTTATCAGGAGTATAAGTGCAGGTTTGTTACATAGGTAAACTTGTGCCATGGGGGTTCGTTTTTACAGATTATTTCATCACCCAGGTGTTAAGTCTAGTAGCCATTAGTTATTTTTTCTGATCCTCTCCTTCCTCCTATCCTCCACCCTCTGAAAGGCCCCAGTGTGTGTTGTTCCTCTCTATGTGTCCATATGTTTTCATCATTTAACCCCACAAAAACTTGCACATTGACCTTCTTATAGATCTACTCGCTTTAAAGGTTAAAAAAATTAAAATTCATTCAGAAATTTACTTTTCTTACAATTATATGTAAATATTTTATGTTACATATTTTACTCCATTAACTTCTTAAAACTCAGAAAACCGTGTTTTAATTCAAGTATAAAAACTACCTCCTCAATGCATAAAGTTGATTGACTTAAAAATACTCAATTACTAATTTTTTGTGGAATAATGAAAAAGTTTTTATTTTATTTTGTTAAAAATAATAATCTCCAATGTTAGAAATCATTAATCAGAATAATTCATTAAAACGTTCAAGGAATTTTCAGAATTCAAAACAGCTAATGTTACTCAAATATAGTTTTATTTTGGTCTTTATCAAGTTCCATCACTTACTAGGCTTCTACAAGAGTTTTGAATCTTCAGTGGAATTGTTATGAACAGATAGCTAGCTATTTTATGACTAGTCACATGAAAATGCAAAAACATTTGATTCCCTTACTGTTTAAAAAGACCATATATTTTCTAACCTTCCTCACTTTATTTCTATGACAAAATGACAGGTACAGAAATGTCTGTAGGAAAAAAACATGCCAATTAGAAAGAGTTTCATGCTATCATTTTAGATTAACAAAACAAAACATGTGATTAGCTTTCCTTTGTTTCTTTACAATAGTCTGTTGATTTCTTAAATTCCTCAAAGGAATTTAAAGAAAAGAAAACAAATTCTAACAACTGATTGATGAGGTATATACTCAGTGCGATGCTTGGCAAAGATTGCACTTTTATTATGGTAAAAAATGGTGTTAAAGAATGTTAGAGAATCAGACAAAATGAACCATCTGGTTTGACTGATCTTGGTTGTGCAATACTTTCCAGCATGTACCTCCAAGGTTTGCATACACTATTTTGGCATTTTGGAGTAATTATCACTGTGAAACTTTCACAAGTATGCCTTATTTCCACAGGTAATTAAGGTGACCTAGTTATGTCTGCATAAAGCTTAGTCTGAATGATGCAGACCCAGGGGAGACTAATAGGTCACTAACAGCAATCAATCTAACTGATGGAAAAAAGAAAGATTCTTGTAGACGATATTTGCCGTATACTATTATAAAGCTATTTTTAAGATACATTATCTCATCAATAATATCCTAAGAGCATAGAAATCATTTCCCTTCAACTATTCTGGGTCCCATTTCATGCTTCTTTTAAAGTTTGAGCTGTTGAACTTGCTAATTCCTTATAATTATTAATAAAGGAATTTAAGATTAATTTTTAAAGACCAACGTTTAATTTTGTTGATTTTCAAAAGCATCGTTAAAGAATTGCTTCTATTGCATGTGGCTAACAAATTCTTAATTGGTGCTCTCATGTCTATGAATTATAATTAACAAGCTTTACAAATGCTTTGCCACCCCGAAGTGCTGCTCACCCTCAAATGGTTCCCTTCATCCTTAGGACAGATCTGAACCCAAAGACCCAACTCCTTCATCAATCCAGTATTCTGGCAGCTGACTGAATTTACTGAAAGAGTTGGAGAATTGGGTTTCTAGTGCCAACCCACAATATGCAACTTCTGTCATTTTTTTATTCCACAAACTTGAAACTTGCTGCAGAAAATCAATGCATCAGATACACCACATCAAGAACATAATCTTGCTCTTTATAAAAAGGTCGCACGTTTATTTAAAGCATATCTCAAGTTAATTAATGGACACACATTATCAGAAAAACTAAAACAAAAGTAAACCAAAATATAAAATAGCTCAAATAATCTAAAGTAGGTTTAAACCCATTTTTTTCCACCTCATGGCACTATGACTAGGAAGACATGGATAATATAGTTCACATTTTACTTACAAATGAGTTTTTTCATCTCTTCTTCCGGGAAATACTAACAAATCAACTGAGTTTCTTAAATGGCATAGTCTGTGCCCCTAGACATTAAAATTCTAGCAGCTCAAAATGAAAGATATACAAAAGAAAAATATATGCTATTAAATATGCAAAGCACTTGCATTCTTTTTTGAATCATTATTTAATTAAAGAATGATTTATTATCATGCTATAAATGGGAATGATACTTGGAGAGGAGCTCTAGTTGCTTGAGGGTGAATGCCATGTGCATTTTTCCTGGAGTCCCTAATAACTGACACACTTGTATCATTACATTTGAGGTGAAGCAGAAGCCTCTGTCAGATTCCATTCACATGGGCAATCCCCAGTGGCAAAACATCTGATTAACTAGCAAAGCCACTGTCGTTAACAGCTGTATTATTGGAAGCTTGGAAGTATTCAGCCTATTTAGTAGCAGAATGTATTATCATAATCACTTTCTCTCTGGCTTATGTCCAAGAGATATTAACTACTACCCAAATAAATTACTATTAAAATGGTTAGGCATAAATGAAACAGTGTATGTAAAATTTATATTAACTACAGGCCGTATGTTCTTTTTGCCTCCAATAAAATCTGTTTTGGTAATATATACATGAATAACAGTAATTTCTAGTCAAGAGTTTGATAATTTCTTCATTTGTAAGTTTACTGGGTTGATTTAGCAAAATCCTTTGCAGTTCTCTAAAAAGATCTCAGAGAAGAGTCTATTTTATTAGTTCTATTATTCTAAATAAACTATATTCTCAATCTTGTGAGCACAGATATATGAATTCGAGTGACCTATTAAGGTTCCAGCCAGGTATGCATTTTAATTATTTGGATCAATTTTATTGAGATAATTTTCTAAGTATCTTGTATATTTATAACCATAATTATGTTTAAAAAGAAAGGTACTGAAATGACCCAAAAGATCTCATTTTGATAAAATCTTATCAATTTTGTGACTGATGAGCATTTAAAATAGCTACAAAATGGAAAGAAAGAGAAAGGAAGGAAGGAAGGAAAGAAGGAAGGAAGGAAGGGAGGGAGGGAGAAAAGGAGGGAGGGAGGGAGAGAGATGGAAATTGTCCGACACAAATACAGTGCCTCCAGGTAAATGAAAATTCCTAGTAAAAAATGCAAAATTCTACTAAAATCTAGCTTATGTTTTACACACACAAAAATAAGAAAAATAATATACCCAACTCTAAATTTTATTTTTAATAAAATTTATTTTATTAAAATTCTGAAACAGAATGTAATTTTGAACATAACAAAAAAATATTTACAGTACTTTAGTTTACTTTGTTGTGTGTAGCATTGTTTTGGAAGGGTAACTCCCAAACAAAAATGTAATGAATTATAAAGACAATCTTCTTCAATAGTGTAAAATAATTTAATGAAACTTTGCAAGTATACATGTTCTTCCTAAGATTCATGGCAGCATGAAAAGGAAACTGTAAGGGAACATTAAATAAAGATGCTTGTAGATCTAAATGTTTTAAATAAAATAAAATGAAGATGTTTAAAAGTGCAACACCATTGTGTAATGATAATTCTAGTAGTTTAAGCTGCTTAAATCCAAAACATGCTCTCTAAATATGGAATGCAGTTACCCAGATTGGCATAAAGTAGCAAAATAATGATCATTTTTACATCATCCAAATGAGGAAAGGCAAGTGAATATTATAATAATAAATGACCTGTTGGTTTAGCAGTTTCCAAGAGAAACATTTCATATATATTGATCTCTAAAACAGAACAGTGTTCTATTAACTTACTCTTTACTTTTGCATCTATAAATGTCTTGTAGTTTTTAAAAAGAATTACAGCAAAATATAAATAAATAAATAAATAAATAAAAGGATTCTTAAAATATTAAAGAATATAACTTAAACGTAACACAATAGAGATAGCATCAGCAATTAGTGAACACTATCACAGTTTACTGAATGTTACATTTCATTGTCTGGCTTGAAGTGTTCTGATTAAACGTGCAGGATGCTCTTCAAAACTGTTCAGAGTCTCTCCAAAGGACAGACTAATTACCAACTGTTAATATTAAGAATACACTTGGGGCAGAAAAATAGGACTTCAATTTACAGTAATAATTTTGGGATGGAGTTATTCCAGCAGTAAACTGTCACAGCAGCTCAAAGTGTGATGACACCCCTGAAAATAAAATAAATACACTTATAACTTTCCAGTAGATCTTCAGACACTCTGCCAAGAAAAGTAAAACAATTAGTAAACTTTCACAAATTATAAAGTGAGATTATACCTTAGGTTTGCATAGCGGTTTAGAATTACACAGTGTTTTTATATGTGACATGAATATATTCTTGGACAAAGAGAAATACCAGAATTTAGCATTTTATGCTTTCTCTGCTGAAAATTAGTCAAAAAATATTTCTTGTTTTGAATCATGCACGGCCAAACTAAATAATCCCCAAATTATTCAAACATGAACATATTTTGTCTTAGTCTATTTTATACTTTTCTGACAGATAGAAAATCCTACCAGTACTACCACCATCACCACCATCTTTCCACCTCCAAGAATTTTGTGCTTCAATTAGCTGAAGGATTCTCAGTTGTACAGGCATCTGTTTCTGCAAAGACAGACTTATAGACAAGTTAAAGAAGGGTGTTCAAGGTCCTTGGCACAAAGCTAATATGCTTCCTGCCTCTGAGCTTCCTGCCAAACCCAGCCCCCATTGGTTATTTGCATGGAAGAAAAGCTTTCAGATATGATTTCAGTCTTTATTTGTTAAGGCAGAGGAATTTTTCTGTCTTCATGCCTGTGTTAATTCAATCTGGTCATTTTTCCCTATCTATAAAAGAGAGAGACCAATCTCATTTGACAACATGACTCAATGTGTTCACACACAATAGAAATGCCTTTTACTGATGTGGCAGTTTAGTTTACAAAGCACTTGCACTTATATCATCACTGTTCATCCTCACCAGACACTGAGAGGTAACAATCTACATCTTTTGTGTTGTCTGAGAATAATAATTATATCTGAATCTCCTCTTTTAAAAGTACTTATATTTTTAGTTATTTTTCATATTTGGTTATTTTAGGTGACAATGATGTTGGCTTTTATTAGAAGCTTTCCTTTTTCCCTTTAAAATCCAGAACTATTTGCCTTTTACTATTGCCTCTTACTGTTGTTCAATGGCTACCCACTATTCAGACACTCGGATCAATAATATCATCACCAAATACAGGCCTTAGAAACTGAAATAAATTTATGCTTGAAACCTGCCTTTTAAAGCACTGTGTGATATAGGAAAACTTTTTTAAAGAATCTGCAATTTACTTTAGTCTCAGTGTAACAGAAATTTATAGTCACAAACTACTGCACACGGATTTTGCCCACTACCAGGGAAAAATAGTAGGATACATAGAAGATATTTTTATTAAATGATGGGCATTGATCAAATAAAAGTATGATTACTAAGTTATGTATTTATAACTCTTTCCAAGTTCTTCTTTCCTATATCCTATTGCATTCTTTACTCCACTTTTACCCTTTAACCTTCTTGTTATAAATCCACTCATCTATCCATGGCCCTTTTTCCTATAACTTGATAAAATGCTCCTATTTTAACTATTATCTTCCATAGACGCAGAGGGAGCCAAGGTGAACCACACAGTCAGTTGGGACATATATTCCAAAAGAAATAGAGGTAGATTTGATGCCTTTAATCCACTTGGTTACTGTAGGCTTCCTGTTCAATTTCTTCATCACTCATTTATTCTATTTATATTTTATTTGCTGTATGTCTGTTTCTGCACATTTTTTCCAGTCCTATATTGTTTTACAGCATTTAGAGAAGCATGTGCTTCCTAAAGGAGCTTTCTGTTTTCCCTCTTCCCATTTATGCTTTATGTAAAGCATAGTGTCAATAACTCTCTTGGCTCCTCCTCAGCAGAGTTGGGAGAGAAGGACTGGGCAAAGAATCAAATGTCATCAAGGCAAGACAAGATGCCATAACGTGACATAATTTCCAAATAAATCAATTTAGATACAGAAACTCATAAAGGCACAAGTCATTGTTTAAATATTGTACAAGACTGTATTGTGTATTACCCAAGATATCAATTATCTTCTTCTGAAACAACTGAAGAAATCTATCCTACCCTATTCAACAGTATTGACCAAAAAAATGTTTTTTAATGTGGCAATACCCCTTCTACCTGCAGGTTGGCAGTCAGAAAATAAGTCTCCCTTTTGAAATATCCCCATTAAAGATAATAATAATAATTAGATTCTTCGAGAAGGGAAAACTGCTTCTCGTACATCATGCCATCATATTTTATTTGTATTTTATAATTGACATTTCAAAGAAAAAGAATCAATTTGAATTGATGTGAGTGCCATTTAGTAGCTTTATTCTCAATCACTGTTTCTTTACTAACAGTATTCCTTGCTCATTGCACCTTTAAACCAGACTGACAAAGAAATATTCTTGACAAGTTAAATATCCTCACTTCATATCCTCCATAATGAAAGTCAATAGGAAACATAGAAATAAAAACATGTCTAGCACAAAGTTATAAGATGCTATTTAAAGGTCCTGCTACTAAATTCCAAGAAAACTGTAATCCAATAATATGAGAACATTGAGGTTGCAACCCCGCTGCACAAAGTGTAAGCTACATGAGAGTTTCTACCTCGGTCACCTACTTCACAAGTTTGTTATAAGAATTGGTTGAGATCCCAATTTGGGAAGATGCCCAGCACATTACAATCTCACATTAAACATCACTCTTATCCTATAATTTCTCAAATAATTTTCATAAACATTACCTCATTTGATCCTTGCAATCACCTTTTGAAGTACCGTGGTCAGATATTATCCCTAGTCTGTAATGAAATTGAATCAGATGAGATCATATTATTTCCCCTTGTGATTCTTGTGGTGCAGTGTTTGCTCTACTCCATGACCCCCTTATAGGTTCACTGATCCACTTAATTAATGAGGCCCTTAGGCAACTGGTAAATTGCCTGAGCTCAGACACTAAGGGTTACCTAACCATCATGAAATGAGGAAGGTACTGTGTTTTATTGATTAAAAATAAATTATCATTTTTGAGGAATATAGCTGTACTATTTGCTTTAAAAATGTTTCAACAGATTGTAGCTGATGTTGATGGGAGGACACCCAACTACTGAGCAAAAGATATGGCATAACAAGGTAGTCAACCTAGGAGCATGAGAGTCATTTGGAGAGTTAGAAAGAATGTAGTCTTAGGAACCCAAAACCATAGCAAGAGACCTAAGCAGATGGTCTGTTTCAGGGAATTCCATTGGAAAAATGCCAGGGTCATCAGGGGTAGCTCTTATTTATAACATGTATATCCACAGTCACTTGACATGATGCCTTGTACATAGTAGGAATTCAGTACATACGGAGTGAATGAATATTCTGTCCCCAATGTTTTCAATACAAGATTATTCCATCTGTTTTCACTTATAAATAATTAATTGAATAATTGAATGACATTTTATCTGTATGTGACTTCTAAATGAACAAAATGGGAAAATTTTATGGAACAATAAATTATTTGCTAGATAAATCATTGTTTGCCTTTTATTTGCATGCCCATTTTAATGACCATGAACTTTTGCTTAACATAAATTTTGATTGTTGATTCGTTATAATCACCCAGCTATTTAGCACAGTGTTCGGTGTGTTCTGATCTTCAAATCAAACAGCCTTAGTGATGTGCTGGTTCAACAACTTCTAAAAATTAAAGATAAATAAATGTCAGATGTTTAGCTTCTAATAGATCTATTGATAAAATTCAATTTAGACATATGAAGATAAGGAAATCACAAGAAATCAAAAAGCGGATTAGGAATGAAAGTGATAGGTTATTATCTAGATCTACTTCAGGAAACTAAAGGCTCTAATGCATTTAATCTGAATTCATAACGAGCTTTCAAAGGAGTAAGAAAAAGAAACAAAAAAAAAGCACATTACCTAAAAGACACACATAATAAAATTGATTTATTTCCACTTAGTAAAAATCAATGTTAAAATCTGTTTTCATATTATGGTAATATAGAAATTAATCAAATCAAATCTTAACTTTGTTAAGAACAAAGTTTTCCCATGGAAAATATAAAATAGCACTTCTTTCATCAAAGTATAAAGCTCAAGACTGAAAATGAATGATTTGTCTGGATAATAACCAGGTTTCGAGCTTTAATCAAAAGGTTTTAGGGCCAGAAAAAGTATGTTGTCACAGAGAATTCCATCATATATCCTGGGGCCCATTTAAGACACTTGGAATTTAATAATCCTATTGCTTTCCTTTTGAACTGACCACATTCCATCCTTTTAAAGCCTCAGTCATCTCCCACACTGTCATCTAAAATCAATTCAACAAGAATTCCTTGCTTTCTTAATTGAAGTAAGCCACAATTTAGCCTTCTATGTCTTAACTAGAAAAGAAGTTAAAAAAACAAAAAACTTTAAAGGTGATTAACATCTGCGTTTAAAAATTACATACATGTTCCCCCATAGGATGTTTTATGTGGCAATATCCCCTAAAGATTATCTAAAAATAAGGTCCTATGAACAAGTCCATTTGAAAGATTCTATATTCTCTTTCTGGCAAATTCACAATAATCATTTTAATGCTAAGGGCTCAGAAGTTCTACAGTCAAGAAAAGTACATTTTTTCACCATTGAAATTCTACGATATATGAGTATAATAAAGACACTGACATCAGACTATTTTTTGACCTTTGGCTACTGAGAGCTTTTAAGCCTTATCCCTCCTTCTTCGCCTTGTCGCCCACATGTGGGCTGATAAAAAGCCCATGTGCTCTTTCCTTTGATGCTGGCGGGAGATTCAAATCCTACACAAGTTCCTGTCTATGCATGGAACGCTTGCCTCAGACCCAGCCCCTAATCACAATAAAAACCCCTAGCTGCTCTCTTTTTCTTACTCTCTTAAAGCCACTTTGGACCTGCCTGGCAGGCCTTCGCTGCTCTCCTCAGATAGCTCCTAGTCTCTTGAAGTTTATGTAGCATTATCAGTTTCGACATCGAAACCAAATTTTGAGTGGAGGATTCATCCTGTTTCCTCAGATGGCTACAAAAATGACAGAGATTGATATTGTCTGAAGATGAAATGATGGGCCAAAAGGAAATTCTTTTGTATAACATAACATTTTTAACAAAGGACCTACAACATATGTTAGCATTACATTTTCTGGATATGTGATACTTTAAAGTCCAGCCAGGGAAACAGAATCCAAGCTAAGTTGTTCAATAAAGAAGAATTCTTCTGAAGGTTGTGCCATTTGGGGTCCTCCAAGAAACAGATGCCAATGTGGGATTTGATCTGCAAAAGGTTGATTGGGGAAAATGCCTGTGAAGGAAAAAGAGAAAAGAACAGAAGAAGTAGGGGGAGAGAACATAAAGCCGGCCTACAACTATGAGAGGAGAGAAGGAGAAAAGGAGGCTTGGGTAGGAAATGTCAGATTACAGCAAACTTCTGGAAAAGTCTGGGATAGGTCAGTAAAGAGCCCAAAAAGCAAAGTTTGACCATTAGAGGAATTCTGTATTATGCAAAAATAGCCTGATTCTAATAACTCCATTGACTGAGAGCAGCTTGAGATAAGTATAGCCACGGTATGAACGCTATAGTGTGTCCAAAGATGCAGCAACTTGAACTTGTCAGTCAATTAATACTCCCCACAGCATGTTCTCTTGAAGAGCAATCCCATGTCCATGCAATGAAATTTGTTAAAAAGATATTGGTTGAGCTAAAAGGCAAATGGAATAGCAAGGCAAATCAGAATAGCAAGGCAAATCAGATATAAAGAGCAGCAGGAAGCTACTACCAACCTCAGGAACCACGAGAAGCAGTGGTTTAAGTATGTGCTAGGAGTTGGGGCCACCAGGCAAGACTTGGAACCACAACACGTTCTTCCTGGTGGGAGCTGGCACCTCAGCAGGAAAGACTGCTGGACAAAAGCTCACTTTACAGCAGAAACTAAGCTACTCTCAGAGACAAGTGCCAAAAGCAAGAAGAGAGGGGGCTTCTCCCCTTCTTCCTCCTGTCTATCTCCCTTCAATTCTTCTCGTTGCCCAAACTCAAATGAAAACGACGTGGTAAGGGATTATGAGACATTAGTTTGCAGGGCTCAGCCTTCTGCAATACAGATCAGAGGAGAGGAAGTACCGGCAATGAATCTGGGAGAAAACCAGCCCCAGACAGGCACAGTAAGCCATGGGATTAAAAAGTCCCAGATTTATACTGAGTTAGAAAATAAATTAATACATTGGTTATCAAAATAGTAAAGTCTTTACAAGTTACCTAGGTCATAGCATATTGGGGAAAATATATGTATCTTTATGAAAGGCAAACCCAACAAAGCAATCATTTTCAATTGGTAATGAGAAGAATAAATAGACAACATATTTTAAATATTAGATTTCCTTTTTTAAAAAACTACATAAGAAATAAGCATGCTAATTAGCAAGAATTCTATTCACAAAAACAAGTTGACGGTAGTTTGATAGTTTGCAGAGAACAGCTTAAAATGTGGTTTCACAATTGGTTGACTTAGACATGAACTAGGCACCTATATTAACAACAATGTTGAAAATAAATCATGATTGAGAGTTGCATTTCTTGAATAGGATGAATAAAAAAATTGTCAGAAGGTAGAAACCATTTTTTTAAAATCCAATAACAAATCCCTTTAATTTAGAATTAACATTTCATAATTGGTTTTGGTATAATTTAGAAATTGTTACTTTCTACGCAGTTTGGTAGCCTAGCGAAAGGTAGCACTGGCTCTCTGTGCTCACAAAGAATAGCCTCAAAGACACTGTAAGTAATAGGGCTTTATCACATATATGTTTATGACTTCTATACTTTTTCCAATTTAAATAAGTATCATACACAACAGACTTGAAATCCAGCTCAAACAGGAGCAAATTTCTCTGTTCTGTCCTCTGCTCTGATTCTAGCTCTAGCCAAGCTCAGAATATTTACATAAGAGGTAGAGAAACAGTGCAGACATCTGTGTGGAGCTAGGTTGCTATTCAGCTGTTAGCCAGTGCCCACCCACCACAAAATGAGACAGGCCAAGAGATAGTGAAGTGGGAGGGACAGATGCCCAGCATGCCAGCTTTGTGAAGAGCTAAAAATACCACCCTGGAAATGATGAGGCAGAGGATAAAAGACTATCCAGGTGTTTGCGCCTTAGGGTTGCTTGGAGCAGCCCCTGTGTTGATGTCCACTACCCCATCACAGAGCTGTGATTGAGTGCCTTAGACAAGATTACAGGTTTGTCTCTTCTGGAACAGGCATGGCATGTGCACTCTTTCAATTTCACCATCGTACAACTATGACCAGAGATGATGGGGTGATGTTTTAATATGTCCCTTTGTAAAGGTCTATTGTTAAACACTGGCTTGGAACTAAAAATGGAAGAAAAAGATAATTTGCTGTGCTTGTTCAGCTTAAAACAGGCAAGTTATTTTATGTAGTGAGAACACTATATCCTGATCTCTGGTGATATGCTATTTAACTATCAGTCACCAGCCTCTACTTTGATGGCTGATCCTGAGTGAGGAGAACTTTGATGGGGACAGGGATGCAGTTTTAATAGGTGTGTCATAGGACCACTGCCCATCTGCTTGTAGCCAATAGGCATCAAAGCAGGAAGACTGAGAAAACCTTATTTTTTATAAGAATTTTAAAAGTAACACAAGATTAGGTTAAAGACAATGAAAGTGTTACTGCAAATGTTTCAGCAGTTATTTATAGAAATGGCAACTGGGAGAACCACAGGAGCAAATAGAGCAAATACATTGATGAAAGACCTGGGTCCAAAGATCTACTCTGTGGCTTCTTGGGACATTCACTAAAAAGAAATACAATAAACCTTAAAAGCAAACCACTCGAAGCCCCAGACAGGGAAAAAAATGTTTGGTGTGGAAACTTCACTGGCTGTGACCTTCCGTTGAGATCACTCAAGGCATACACACTGTGGCAGAAAATAAATGATAGACAGCAAATTTGCAGGCAAGTCCCAGAGGACTAAACAACATAATGTCATGTAGTTTGTAAAGGCATAGATATTTGTCACCACAGCCTGCATGAAGGACACACACTGTGCAAACTTTTATTAATGTGTTCCATTACTCTGGTGTGTGTGACTTGTTCTCCCACATCCATTATGTAAAACACATTGCCATTTGGCGCATTGCTTAATAAGGGCTGCAGTCAACTATGCAAATACTTAATTATTATGGCATGCACCTACACATTATAGCTTCCTTAATGAATTTTCTCCGATGTTAAAGTTATTTAAAGTTAACCCTCACCCCACTCCCCTAGGGGAGAATCCTGGTCTGGTAATATCCAGGAAATATGTATATGCTTACGAAAATATAGCAGTCATCCTGCTAAACTGAGGAACCCATCACAGTTTCCTGAAGTAAGCAATGAAAAGAGTAGCTATAAGTTATTTATCGAGTACGTTTTATTAGAGTCTAGAAAAAGAAGCTATTCTTAATTATAATGAACATTTAAAAAATCTGATCCCAATATTTTTAAGAGTGAGACCTTGTTATTTCTTTGATAGCAGGTAAAAAACTGATGAAAATATTCTTTAATATTATAAAATTATAAGGGATGAAGAAAGTGAAGCCACATTTTAAATATATATATTCACGTTAGGAAGAGCATATTGATAACTGTATTGAAGCAAGGATTTAAAAAGGGACCTTTACAAAGGGGCATATATTGTTTTGCAAAACAGTAGCATTGAAATTAGTGTGAAACAACTAAAAATCTTTTTAAACATTGCTAGTTTAATTAGAAAATACTTTATTAGTTATTTGTATGCTTCATTTACTTTTACCTGATCATATCACAGTATATGATTTATGATGGTTTATAAATTATGAACATTACAAGAAGTCTCATTTTGTATCTGAAATGAATTTAAAAGAATAAGAAGGAAAATAAGACTAGAAAAAGGAAGAAAAAGCTAGGAGAGAGATTGGGGTGCTTAATTTCCTACTGGAAAGTGGGGCGTGACTCCCACTCTGAGCTTTATAGAAGCTAAGCCAAAATGGAAAATCTAATCACTTATACGATTTCCAGAGTTCACAGAACAAACTATGTGTCAATAATAAGTATTCTTGACTCTATTACTTAGAAAAAAGGTCCCTGTATTTCTTTATAACAGCATCACTTTGTTCTGTGGACAATATGGCCATCACCATACTTAAAGCAAATGAAAGTCAGCAATGAGTTATTTGGTGATGTTTCTGGTAATGTTTCTCAATGTGGCCCTACTGCATAACCTATATTTGAAATTCAACAAAAAAGTATTCTATGATGCTTTAAAAGTACGCCATCTTTGTATTATGAACTGTGGTGTTCTGATTCAATCCAGAAAAAGGACCTTTAGACTCTTTATTAAGTATTATATATTAAACTCATAATTTTGTTTCAAACTCACCTAATGTTGGCAAAAATGGTGACATATAAAGTTGAAGTTAGTGATGAGTACCTCAGTTAACTATTCTACAATTCTGGGAAGGTGGGGCTTGAAGCCCTCAAGGTAAAAATACAGGGTCTACTTAAGAAAATGAATATGTAAATCCCACTAACATATGGTAGTTAAGTCCCTAAAGAGTACATAGTATTTAAAACTCCTCATTCTGTCAGTATATAAAATTTTCACATTTAAAGGATTTCAAGTATCATCAACCAGATGTGACCAGGCAGAATATAATGTACAATTCTTTCTACCACCAGTCAGTGGAAGTATATTAAGACTCCTAGGCATTGCACTCACAAGTAATGTTTTAATCCATATAAATTCTACAACAATATTTTCCCAATTTTGGTGGAACTACAAAATAGCCTGGTGAGTGTGTCATCAACCACAATGCCTAAGTCACTCATGAACATTTGCAGAACCTTTTGAATAGGCATCTCCAGAAGCCTAACAAGTATACATTGAACAAAACTGGTGATTCTGTGATCCTGATATACACCAAAGTTTGAGAATCACTTCTTTAAAATGGGATGATTTTCCACTGAAAACTCCTCAGGAATTCTAAAATTTAGACTAATGTATGAATTGTTTTTAGTGTTTGTTTTTCAGAATACAACTATGTGTATTATTTTGGGGATAGTTAAAAATTATGAAGTATCTTCCACAGATATTTAATCCAAATATGTGGGTTGAAGCAATGGTATATGCATTTTTTTCAGATAAGTCTTATGTATACTGATATTAAAGGGCTCCTATTATAGCAAATATCACTAACCAAAATATTTAAAAGAAATAAAACCTAAATGTTATGTGGAAAAAGCCATAGTTAAACTTGTCTGTAAGATTTATCAAGGACTAATTATAGTTGCTCGTGTGCACTTAGCACTGATTATCTGTTAATAAATACATTTTCTAAATATAAAAATAAGACTATTTTGCCAATTGAACAATAGTAGTAATGATGACTAGGTAAAATCATGTATGTATTAATCAGAAGTAGTATTTAACAACCTTCTAAACATCTCTTTTAATAACTATCCTGCCAGTAGAGGATAAATCGAAGAGTTGAGGAAAGTTCTTAAACTGTGGGAGTCAGACACATGTCCTTTCAATCATGCCTCTACCACTAACTAACTTTGTGATATTGGACAATTTATTTAACCTCTCTAAAATTCAGTGTTCCCAGTGATAAAATAGCTACAATAAAGACGCCAATGTGAGGGTTAAATGATGCCATGTATACCCTCAATAAATATTACTTCCTTTCATCCCCACTTCTAATCTAATGATGCTATTTTAAAAATGTATTCCACAAAATCCATCATACCATCTGAGTTTCTGTCTCTCCCTAATTCAGTTGCTATTTAGAATAGAAAATAAACTACTGTATACTCTGTTGTAGTGTGAACAGACTGTAGACTAACGGAAAGTGTGGGATCTTTAGGTTTTGATCTGAGTTCAAAGTTTGGCTCTCTTATTTGATCTGCTTGACTTTGGGCCAATCTCAGCTTCAGTAACTAGTCTATAAAACTCACTGCTTGAAATTTTATGGAGAATGAATTAGACACTAATGATAAATCTCTGACATATAGGAGAAACACAGTAAATGTTTGCATTCTTCATCTTTGCTGGAGAGACCCTGCACACGCTCATCACCAACACTAGGCAGAAAATCAACACCTGTCATTAGAGAATTCCATCAGAGTAGTTACCAAAATTATCAAACTTAATATTTGTATTTTACATAATATTAAGGGAAATTCCTCTTATAAGGCATTGCTGGCCATTAGGTTAAACACCTTTATGAACTTCTGAGCATTCTCAGGTCTCACATGAAAGGAATACACAAAGTAATTACCAATTATTATTTCACAACAAATTACAGTTGTCTACTCACTAAAGTATTGCACTGGGATTCAGTAGACCTGAATTCTATTCCCACTTCTGCTACTCTCTAGTTTTATGACACTGGAAAGTCACTTCACCTTTCTATGTCAGAGAAAACTTATAATTAACTTTCATTGATGTATAAGCCTTCTTCTGCAGCAGCTGGGAAACTAGAATTATATTTCCCATCAGAATGTAAAATTCTAAATATTTCCTGTAAAATATTTCCTTTGAAATAGAGTTTGGATTTTCAGTGACTGTAAGTTCATTGATGAAAAGATTAACCTATATATATATTTTTAGTAAGTTAATATTTGATTTTATATGTATATCCAAGCATGACAATTAAAATAAGCTTTATATATGAAAGAGGTATATATTGAAGCTTTCTTCTACAAATGAGCAAGGGGAAGACTAATATACCTCTACAATAATGAACAGAGTTATTAAGTAGTCAGTACAAAAAAAGAACAATAACATAAAAAATATTAAACCTCCTTATAAGCAAAAAAATTCCCATTAAAGCAAAAATGAGTCTCAATATTTTGCCTACCAGATTTTAAATAGTTTAAATATTAATTGCTATGATATTTATGGGACAAATTAGGCAATAAATATCAACATTCTTAAAATATCCATGCTCATACTATTTCTATTTTTAGAATTGTAAATTAAGTAGAGACTCAGAAATACACAAAATATTTTTTGTGTAAGAATATTCATAGACCTATTATTTATAAAGCTGGAAAAGTTAAATAAGTAAATATCCAACAAAAAGGTAATGGTTAAATAAAGCGTGGCTTATCTGAGCAACAAATGTTACAGTTATTAGAATTGAGATTTTCAAAGAATATTTTCAGAATTGACAAAGATAACCACTGTTATGGACTGAATTGTGTCCTTCCCCCAAATTATTTTGAGTCCTACCCAATATCTAATACTTCATGACCTCTACTCAACCTAGAAACCTTGTTTTATTCGAGATGATAAACAACTCTTGGAGGCCCATATTGAACACCTTCTGCAAGTACATCGACTTTATTACCTACTTCTTCTTGGACCATATACCTTGAAAATTTTCCCCATTTAGAGACCCTGTCTGATTTCCTAAGTGCTGTTTCACTGTCTTCCACTATTTGTCTTCTTTCTCTTGCCTTAGATTCCCAATTGTAATATTTACTCTTTACACAAAATTTGTGTTATATCATTAAATATTTTCTACTATTACATAGGTTTTCCAGCATCCAGGAATATAAGTGCTATGTTTCATAGATTGTCTTCTATAAGAAATGAAGCTTCTGACAAGGACATTGATTCTATAATGAATGCTCTTCATATCAAATTATAACTTTCTATATTTTCTATATTTTATAACACTTTATGTCTATATCTTCTTTAATATTTTGAAGTTTATCTGCCTTCTTGCTTTTTCACATTTTATTTCTTAGTGTTTAATTATTTTTCTGCTCAGCTGGGAGCAAGTGTTGTACAGTAGAAATCCATGTGAGTAAGTTTCATTTTTTCAATTGGAGATAAAATATAGATTGCATATAATTATTTGAAATTAAAATGAAATTACAGAAGACAGAAACTAACAAATTGTTGGCATATACAGTATAAATAATATGATTTTCAACAGCCTACGTATATTAACACCAGCTCTTTGTGTACATGATCTTTTCTATTTAATTCTAAATTATCATGACAGCATTTTGAAATTATTGAGGCACATTGCATGTACTCATTATAAGCTGTTAGTCTCAGTTTTAAAAATATTTAAATTTATAATTACCAGTGTTTAATTTGGCTCTGAACATTCCTTTGTAAGTCAACAATTAGGTTTATTTATTTTTAAAATGACTATAACATCTGCTTTTCAGGATTATGTGATTTATTGAATAAGCCAGCCATTGGTAAAATTGTACAATATTCTTGCCAATAAATTTTATGCAAACCCTTTTCACAAATTCAAGGGCCCTCATATAATCCCGTATTTGCTTCACCGATAGGGCCTTTCAAGCTCATCACCTCAGTTCCTTTATCTTAAAAAGACATCTCAGGGCTGTTGTTTTGGGTCCTGATTTCTCTGTTGTGACTAAGTGATAATAAAGACACTTTAAGAAGAAGTGACATTACTGACAATCTCAGAAGCTAAAAAAATTACTGTCTTTCACATCAAACATTGTAGAGAATATGTACTATACAAATAAGCCTTTAGCAAATTGTCCATAATTAATCACATAAAAAATAGTTTTAAGAAATATTTGTACTGTATAATTCCATTCATGCCAAAATATGTCTACACTGAAATATTTACCTATAAAGAGATCTCTTTAAATTGATAGTGACTTCAAGACTGCCATATACTAGTCAGATAAACATACTCCATTAGCAAATTTTACTGCGGTAGGCTTACTTATCAGTAAAAAAGCACAGGATGGGAGCAGAGAGGATAGTGGATTTAATACAAATTGAGCCTCACGTGGAGATACTCATATGATGACTGTAAAGTACATTGAAAATACAAAGCGCTGGGTAAATGATAAGAATTTTTATCAGGTATCAGTCACTGACAGAAGCAGAAAAACATGTTTGATGGATGAAAGACTTAATATAACCTGGCCAAGCCTTGATGCCTACTAGCACCTTACCTCCTTGTGAGAAAAAGGGAATTAAAAGCCTGGGCCAGAGCACTTCATCAGAGGGTCTCTCCCAGTCTCCAATCTTGCCTTCTGTCACCTTGCATTCTCTGTGGTCATCACCTTCAGAACAGTGGCATATGTGTACATTACTTTGGTTTCCAGCTCCATTAAAATAATGCTTTATCCTGTTTTCTCCAAAGAATTTATGGCAACATTCAAGTATGCATGGTGTTTTTAGCTGAAGGATACTAGAAAATGCTTACACCGGAAAAGCAAAATAAAACCTTCATTCTGAGTTTGTTCCCAGTGACTTGGCTAGGTAACACATACGAACTTTTGTTTTTAAAATAAGTAATTCTGCTGCTGTTGATACTGACATGAAGGTGTTCTCTATCTTCATTTGGAAAACATTTATTATAATTATTTAATTATATTGGTTTAATTACAGAAAAGGCTATGTAGTCCCTCCCACTTGTACTCATTTCTATCATTTTTGGATTCTAGGGGTGGGGATATTCTTGGACTTGTGTAGAGGAGAAAGCACAATAATGTAGACATGGTCAGCTTTCCTTATTACGATCCCATTGCAGAGAAGCAGAACTACTCGGTATAAAGGTGACCAATGAGTCACGTGTACTCTCTATCTATGATCAGTTCAGCCATTAGTACCAGTAGAAATAATTTTGAAATGATCATGACACTGAACTGTACAGCCTAAGTAACTCTCCTAAAAGTAGAGAAAATGTCTTTAAACTTTATACACCTGCTCTGTAGGTTTTTCAGAAATATGGCAATAGGCAGAAATACTAGCAATTACTTGATCACCTACATAGGGTCAGAATTTTTTTCCCAGTGTCCAAAGGAGAGAAGGTAGATTTCTTCACAAATAAATATCTATCAGAGGCAACTACATGGAGATACAAATCTCATATTTCAAAATTATATGTGAAAGCTCATCCTTTTTTATTATTTTATTTTATTTTATTATTATTATACTTTAAGTTTTAGGGTACATGTGCACAATGTGCAGGTTAGTTACATATGTATACATGTGCCATGCTGGTGTGCTGCACTCATTAACTCGTCATTTAGCATTAGGTATATCTCCTAAAGCTATCCCTCCCCGCTCCCCCAACCCCACAACAGTCCCCAGAGTGTGATGTTCCCCTTCCTGTGTCCATGTGTTCTCATTGTTCAATTCCCACCTATGAGTGAGAGTATGTGCTGTTTGGTTTTTTGTTCTTGCAATAGTTTACTGAGAATGATGACTTCCAATTTCATCCATGTCCCTACAAAGGACATGAACTCATCATTTTTTATGGCTGCATAGTATTCCATGGTGTATATGTGCAACATTTTCTTAATCCAGTCTATCATTGTTGGACATTTGGGTTGGTTCCAAGTCTTTGCTATTGTGAATAGTGCCGCAGTAAACATACATGTGCATGTGTCTTTCTAGCAGCATGATTTATAATCCTTTGGGTATATACCCAGTAATGGGATGGCTGGGTCAAATGGTATTTCTAGTTCTAGATCCCTGAGGAATCGCCACACTGACTTCCACAATGGTTGAACTAGTTTACAGTCCCACCAACTGTGTAAAAGTGTTCCTGTTTCTCCACATCCTCTCCAGCACCTGTTGTTTCCTGGCTTTTTAATGATTGCCATTCTAACTGGTGTGAGATGGTATCTCAGTGTGGTTTTGATTTGCATTTCTCTGATGGCCAGTGATGGTGAGCGTTTTTTCATGTGTTTTTTGGCTGCATAAGTGTCTTCTTTTGAGAAGTGTCTGTTCATATCCTTCACCCACTTTTTGATGGGGTCGTTTGTTTTTTTTTTTTGTAAATTTGTTTGAGTTCATTGTAGATTCGGATATTAGCCCTTTGTCAGATGAGTAGGTTGCGAAAATTTTCTCCCATTCTGTAGGTTGCCTGTTCACTCTGATGGTAGTTTCTTTTGCTGTGCAGAAGCTCTTTAGTTTAATTAGATCCCATTTGTCAATTTTGGCTTTTGTTGCCATTGCTTTTGGTGTTTTAGACATGAAGTCATTGCCCATGCCTATGTCCTGAATGGTATTGCCTAGGTTTTCTTCTAGGGTTTTTATGGTTTTAGGTCTAACATGTAAGTCTTTAATCCATCTTGAATTAATTTTTGTATAAGGTGTAAGGAAGGGATCCAGTTTCAGCTTTCTACATATGGCCAGCCAGTTTTCCCAGCACCATTTATTAAACAGGGAATCCTTTCCCCATTGCTTGTTTTTCTCAGGTTTGTCAAAGATCAGATAGTTGTAGATATGCGGCGTTATTTATGAGGGCTCTGTTCTGTTCCCTTGGTCTATATCTCTGTTTTGGTGCCAGTACCATGCTGTTTTGGTTACTGTAGCCTTGTAGTATAGTTTGAAGTCAGGTAGCGTGATGCCTCCAGCTTTGTTCTTTTGTCTTAGGATTGACTTGGCAATGCGGGCTCTTTTTTGGTTCCATATGAACTTTAAAGTAGTTTTTTCCAATTCTGTGAAGAAAGGCATTGGTAGCTTGATGGGGATGGCATTGAATCCATAAATTACCTTGGGCATTATGGCCATTTTCATGATATTGATTCTTCCTACCCATGATCATGGAATGTTCTTCCATTTGTTTGTATCCTCTTTTATTGCATTGAGCAGTGGTTTGTAGTTCTCCTTGCAGAGGTCCTTCACATCCCTTGTAAGTTGGATTCCTAGGTATTTTATTCTCTTTGAAGCAATTGTGAATGGGAGTTCACTCATGATTTGGCTCTCTGTTTGTCTGTTATTTGTGTATAAGAATGCTTGTGATTTTTGCATATTGATTTTGTATCCTGAGACTTTGCTGAAGTTGCTTATCAGCTTAAGGAGATTTGGGGCTGAGACAATAGGGTTTCCTAGATATACAATCATGTCATCTGCAAACAGGGACAATTTGACTTCCTCTTTTCCTAATTGAATGCCCTTTATTTCCTTCTCCTGCCTAATTGCCCTGGCCAGAACTTCCAACACTATGTTGAATAGGAGTAGTGAGAAAGGGCATCCCTGTCTTGTGCCAGTTTTCAAAGGGAATGCTTCCAGTTTTTGCCCATTCTTTTTAAAAAAATTGAATAAGTACATGTTAGCACAGCTGCTGTTAAACTTGGACCCATGAATTCTGAAAGGGTTTAATGAAATTCATGAATTTCTTGAAATTCACAGCAGAATTTGGTAGGCACATACATTTTTAAATAAAGAAATGTCTCCTCCTTTATATTGTTCTTCAGTTTGACAATGAAGCACACTCTAATAGCTGCCTCTTAACGCAAATGTTCCCCTTATCATACATCCCTTTCTCTTCCACTTCTCCCCCTAATTTGCTAGCTTTTCATCATAATTCAACTCCTGGAACACATTTTACATACACACAGCCTCCACTTCTTCCCCTTCCATTTTCTCATTCTCTCAGCAACGTGTATTTCTTCTCCATGACACTGCAAAAATCTCATGGGGGAAAGCAACAATAGCCTCTGTGCTGTCATAGCCATGGCCAATTTTAAGTCTTTTTTGGGGGGCCTCTCAATTGTTCAAAGGAGCCAGATAGTATCTTCTGAGATCCTTTCTCTCATTGCCTTCCATAGTATTAGTTATTCTGTCTTTCATCTTCTCCAACTGTTTCTTTGCAGTCTCCTCTTTTTCACATTTCACTCCCTAATTACTAAATGTTGGACTTCCTCAGCCTTGGTCTGGACTTACTCTCTCCATAATCTCTCCATAGGGGAATTCATCCATTTTCAGAGTTTTACAAACCAGTTTTATGCTAATTACTTGCAAATCTATATAGAACTCAGATATCTCTTCTGAGTTCTACACTTATTATTTAACTGCCGGCAGTACAGTGAAAATAGCCTTCTTTTTTCTTCCTCTAACTTTGTAAGTTCTATTCCTCTCTGCAGGGAGCATTCTTATCCTCACTCTTTGCAACATTTTGTTCTCCACTTTATCTAGGTATGAACTTAAATGTCATATCCTTGGAGACCTCTTCTTTGATTTCAATGTAACCTAGACCACACTCTAGTAAGTTTGCCCATAGCAACCAGTTCTTTTGTTTCATTTTTGTTGTATTTTCATGTGTGTTTTAACATGTCCAGTGTCTGTCCCCCTGAATCCTTCAACCTTACTTGATGGTGGAGCCCGCATCTGCTTTATTTTCTCTTCCTGCATAACACAAAAACTGACACACAGTAAGTATTCAATACCAATTAAATATATGAATCAATAAATTATTCACTCGAGAAATCCTTGATGAAAACCTACTATAAGTGAAGCTCTGCCTTTAGACACTGAGAATCTGCAGTGAAAAAAAACAATGAAGCTCCTTTTCTTAAGAGTCTTGGATTCTATCAGGAATGATGACAATAAACCAATAAATATACATTTTTTCCAGTAGTGAGAAGAACTATGAAGAAAAATGAAACGAGCTAAGAGGAATAAAAACTGATCATCAGCAACAAGGGAGTTGTCATTTCTGTAGAGTAGCAGGAACACTTCTCTGACTAGGTGATATTTAGGCAAGAAATGATGAAGTGAGGAAGCAAGACATGAGCATATTTGGAAATGGGTGTTTTAGACAAAAATAACAACAAGTGTTATGACATTGAGAGATAGGATCGTGTCCAGCATGTTCACAGAACTGAGAGGAAGCAAGTGTGGCTGGAGTGAGTGAACAAAGGCAGCTCAGGGGGTACATATCACAGAAGTAGTGGGCAGTGGTCAAGCAGTACTTTGTAGATCCCTGGAAAGACTGGATTTGAGCAAGGGCTGGATGGGAAGACACAGGAAGTGACGAATGAATGAGTGAATAAGCACAGAAATCTTCTTCTTCTTTTTTTTTTTTTTTAAAGAAATATTCTTTAGAGATTGATCTAAAAGTCAAATTTTGGGTAATGTTTCTAGGGAAGAGAGAAACAATATGGAGCCTCATTTCTGGCTGTTTGATTCTCCCATTTACCATTCTATTAATCTGGGTAAGTCATATCCTGATTTTCAGGATGTCTTTCCATACCTGGGACTAAATGATCAATTTGGACAATTGTGTGTCTTAATTTTACATTTGTGATAAAAGAAAGCAATGTGGTAGCTAAGAACTACATTAGAAAAAAAAATGTAGATTTTGAGACTTGAATATTTGATCTGACTGAAATGATAATTCAAATTTTGAGATTTTTAAGAGTACCTAAAATAGTTTTTAGAAAGGCATTGGATTGTTTATAGATTCAAACATAGAACTTCATTGCACAACTCCTGTGGGTGGAAGTGGAAGATTTCTTCCTGATCTATTCCTGATATGTTCTATAAGAAAGAAAATGGAAAGTGCGTGTGTGTATGTGTATGTGTGTGAGGTATCTCAAGATACTTCTCCAGCTTTGGCTTCTAATAAAACACCAGTTGTTGGCTTTCAACATCACAGACAATCAGAAGCCTAGAAGCCCACAGGAACTAAGAAAACTGTTAGAGAAGCTGACCAATGAAGTTACCGTTTTTTCCTGGATAGTCAGTTCTCTTCCTTATACAGCTGACTTTTTCGCTGGACCAGTCTATTACATTATTGGTTCTTCTAACTCAGACTTAGTGAATCAGCCAAAGGAAAAGAAATAATTTCTGCAAAGGGGAAACCATTAATACTGATCTTGGAAAACTTTTTTTTAAGAGTTAGCTTTGCCTGCTTTATATTTTACATTTTCATTTTTTGTTTTCTTCAGCTCAGAGTTGGACTGGATTCAGACTTGGTAGTTCAGTTTTGAAGTTTTATTTTAAAATTATTGAAATAAAAAGAATGTTTTATTATTAATTCCTTAAATAAAATATATAATTTAATAAATTATTAAATATATTTTCTGAAATGAAAGTATCCATTCGATCTACCTACAAGATTAAACAAACATATGACAGGCATAAGGTTTAATTATGTTGTTTATTTAGAATTTGTAGATGATTACTGTAAAGGTATTTTAAAGATATTTACCCTTATACTACATACTGTTTTCTCTATGGGAGATTCATACGTGAATGTCTGTCTGGTCTCAGGATGAAATAATTTGTTTTTAGAAATTGATTCTGATTGCTGATACATTTCTCTTTTGCTTATTTTTCTGTGTGTCTGATCTCCAGCCAAAAGTTTAAGACAGTAATATTCATATTAATTTGTGCCCCTAATTTTTATTTTTATAATTTTTCCTAATTTCACTGTGCTGTATATATAAGTATTTAAATGAATTTTGGAATAAATTGGGTTAGAAATGAGTGCAAATGTGTACTCTAAATCTGTCTAGAATGTTAATAAAATAATGAAGTTACATAAAATGCATAATAGTGTTAAGTAAACAGACAAAAATACTTTTTGTAATCAGTAGATTTTGAAATGATTTTTGACATGTTTCAACGACCCACAATAATAAGGGTACGGAAAGAACTTTCAAAGAAACAAGCAAACAAAACCCCAGAAACAACAACAAAAACAAAGCATTTGCAGAAGTAAAGATGGCCACGAGCCAGTGGTCAAACGACACCAAGCCGTTTGGTGGGGTTCAAAGAAGATAGGGTGCAAAATCAGCAGAGAATATCCAAAGGAGAGTGGATGACATGGCACACAAGCCAAGAGCTACGGCATGGAATTAGTTATGTTCAGAAGGAGTGAATGTGAAAATAGCACATCTCTGAAGGGCAAAGGCAAGTTCAGAGCTAATGATCTCATGCAAAACTGGAATGAGGAAGCAGGGTTACGCCTTAATTAGAGCCAATGCAAGTCCGTAAGGAATTAGATCAGAAAGAAGGTTGCACAACCAAGGGTCAGAGTTAGTGTCCTGAAAAGAGACAGGACTTGAATACAGAGGCAGTGGCATATCAGAGTGAACATCTAATAATTAAAAATAGGCATTAAAATTCACTTGATAAATGGAGTTTAGAAAAACACAGCAATAAAAACACAACAATAAAACCTCAACATCTGATAGAGATGTGCATATTCTTAGGAGACCATAAATAAAATGGTGGTCTAGCCTAAGGACTTAACACATATACTTGATACATGGATGCCTTGTTGTGGCTCTGGGCAGATTATTCCAGGTGTCTTAGGCTGTTTGTAAGGCCCAGGAGTTCATGCAGACAGAAGCTTCTGTACCACTGCCCAGTCTGGGAGCTCTAGTTAGTAGAGGTCATGCAGATTCCAAAGGTGGTTTTCAGCTCAGGGTAAAGTGAAGGTTAGCATTCAGCAACGAGGCCATAACACAGGAATAGCTTTTCTTTTTACTAGCAAGCAAAGATAATCAAAACAATATTTTCTCTCGCTTATTTGTCATGGTCTACCAAAACTGGCTAACTTACTCTGTATGATGCCTGCAGTCTTTCCAGATCAATCTTCCGAAAGTGACATTTCTTTCATTATTTTTTCCCATTTTCAAGAACATATGGTAATATTCCATTTTTCTATGGGAAAAACGACCTTGAAAGTTTTTGCCTCCACTTGAAGACTACTAACTCTGGCTGTACAAAAGGCTGTTCTGTATTTTGCTCCCCAGTGGAGAAATAAGGCTGATACGCACATACTCCCAAACACCCTCTCCTCCTCTGAAGTCCTATGAATTCATTATTTCTGTCACTGCTTTTACTTTGTAATTATATGAAATTAATAACTATCAACCTTCTTTTAGCCATGAATGTTTCATTTTGCTGACAATATTTTAACTGTTTATGGTTGGGTTCTAAGTTCAGTGTACATTCAGTGGAAGTTCAATAAACACCTGATAAAGTGGACAATGTCAGTTGACTAGGAGACTTAGATAGCACATGCTTTATTTCCTGCTCCATATTTTCCATATTTTTCCTCCCCATAGAAAATGCCAATATTGAATATCTCTCCTAATAATTTATCTAACACCCTTCTACTATTGCTTTCCCTTTCAATTTAGCTTCTTGACTCCCCACCTCAACTTCCAGTCAGACAAAAATTTTCATGCCATTTTGTAAAATTAGGGAATGGACAAGATTTTTTATCTAAGGTCAAGTTTGAACATTTGTAAATGACAAGGGAGATAGTTATACAATGGAAGAGTCTTTACTGGGGGGCATCAGTGAGCAAACCTTTGTCTCAAGTCAAACCCAGAAGTCTCTTTCTCATTTCAACCTTCCATCACATGACTGTAATGTGAAACGTGTGACTGTGAAATTAAGATGCCTGGACATAAAACCTAGGGTAACTACCTGATTTCAGACTTCTATGGTACAAGTCTCTCAGCATCCAGGTGTTTCTAGGAAAAGTAAAAACAAGGAACTAAGAAGGAGTTTGTCAAGATCATCTAACAACTCTTATTGGTGTTAATATTATAGTCTCTGCGGATATTAGCATCAAAGTGACCCATCTCTCTGCTCTAAAACTCACTCACTAGCAAACTATAAATGTCAAACTCTCCAGGTGATGAATGGAGAAAAAACAAGACCAGTATAACTAGATACTGCAGCGTAGGAAATGTACATGTTCTTTTCCTTTTATTTCTGAGCCCAGAGAGAAACCTCAGTAACACAATATGGGCTTTTATATGGGATTTTTCTTGTTTATAACACAAATAATAATACTATGAAATCTATAGTAAGGCTTGTCTCCAATGAACTCACTGTGAAAAATATTGCAGTTTTTTTTATATCATTGCATATAATCAAAGGGCCCAGTAGGTGCTCAGTGATACAAGACTCCATAGATCATTCTAGCAGTGACTACCAAAATACATAGCTACTTTATTACCTTAGTTCCATCTTAAAAAGTCTATAGCATATAGCCATTTGCATAAAGTCAATGCTGTAGAAAATAAAATCAGCAATAAACAGAACAAAAATTTATTTCAAAATGTGTATTGTGTGTGTATATATATATATATACACACACACACACTACATACTGTTTATATGTGTGTGTATATATACAAAATGTACATTCGTATTTTTTGATTACTTGGATTTTAAAGAGAGAAAGGTTGATGTGGTCTGGTAAACATTTTTTTCTTTTGCCCAGATAAACACAAACTCTGCTTTCTAATTATATATCTGATACTGAGAGCATGACAAACTTGAGTTTTAGCTACCTTAATAATCAGTTTGTAAGCCAGATGTCAGGTGTTCTCATCCTCACAGCCTTTCTGTCTAGCTCATTGAAATCACTATGCAAACATCAACCCTCCACGGTTTTATTTTTAAATCCTATCAAATTCACCTTTGGAGGATTTTCAGTTTTAGTTTTAAAGATTTCTTAAGGGAGAGGAGGAGATATTTACAACACACACATTACCATGTCCTCTTAAGACATTTCATTCTTCCTCTGCCTCTGTGTAGCCAAACTCGGCTTTTCCTCTCTTTTGCCCCTTCCTGGGAGCTATGGTTGTCTCTATCACCCCCTCCCTCTTATTCATTGAAAAGAGCACTGCTGCTTCCCTAAACACCCTGAGCCTCAGACCAATACCCAGGTCAGAGAAGCTTGTTTCTACCCCAGTGTGACCCTGTGAGTGAGTATGACTTTCAAACCACAAACTCAAGTTCAAACAAACCATTGCTTATCTTTCTGTTTTATTTATTTATTTTTGAGCCTTAATCTCCCAAATGGGAGGAAATATAAATCTCCATCATTCCAGAGGTATCTCTTGTCTAGATTATGCCAAAAGTCAAAGTCTTACACCATATTAGTGAGGTAGTTCAACATGTCTCTGAGATGTCCCTCATCCCTATCCCAATGACTGTTCAGGATCAATAGTACTCTGATATGTGAGTGAAATAAATCTTATGAAGTAGACTGTAACCCTGTCTGCCTAGGTGTACCAGGGAGAAATCATGTTCCACAGTTTCTCACAGCTTTGGGGATCCCACTAGAAAGCAGCCCTCGAGACATGTAACTCAAGGAAACATAGGTCTCTCTATATTTCTCCTCCCACGCAGAATTTATTTCAGTGTTGGGAAGAAGCTTTACTCACTTTTTCACCCTCTTGTTTCTTCACAGACTCAGTCTCTACCCAGGAATCTTCTTCCTTTTTTCTGCCATTTGGGCAAACCTACATTTTCCTAAGAATATATAAACTTTAAAAAAGCAAAGCTAGTAAAAATGTTGCAGATATCTCTGGTTTCAGCCCTGACACAAAACTGAGGACATTAGTGAAGAATGTCACCTACCTACATGGGGAAGAAAATAAGAAAGAATTAAAATGCAAATCAATATCTCAAATGTGACATATCCAGAAAAATAGAAGCATTTTAATAAAGTTGGGTCTCTCTCTCTCTCCACCCCCTTTTTATCTCTCTCTCTCTCTCTCTCTATATATATATATATATAATATAATGCACACACAAAGGAATTCTGATACTCTGTGGTAAAATAATTTTTTCTCTGTATTATTATAAGTTATTTAAAATTATCTACTGCTGTCTATCCATCAGCATAATATTTAGTCATAATTACAACATGGAACTTTTTGTTTCAGCCATATAGACTCTAAACAATGAGGCATTTGAAAGTGAAGATTATATTATTTAATCTTTAAATTTTAAGCATTAGTTCTGCTTCTGCCTTTGATAAGTATTTAATACTAATTTAATAAAATGGATAGTAATGGATGAGTTAAATATAGAAGGATAATACACAGATACAGACATACATACACACACACACACATAATTTAGTCAAAGTTTGTAAAGTTCCTGTCATGTAACAGATGCATTTTTTTCTTCATAATTCACCACTTTGAGCATGAAATCTGGATTAATTATTAACAAGTGAATGGTGACAACTATTTAATTCAGTAAAATTAGCTGTTAGGCTTGTTCTAGGCAATAACAATGCATTAAGATTTGGCTGATATATTTGGCAAAACTGTTATTCAGTTCAGTTTTAGTCTTGACCTTTAAAAGTTTAAATAGCCAAAGTTATATTAAAAATAGAATTTGTACAAAATTGTGATAATGTAATCACACTGCTTGCCAACTTAGGTAATCAATTTAATCAGTAATATGGACATAGCATGTTTCAGAATTATTATTAGTATTATTTGATCATCCATTTTAAAATATAGGTTTAACTTGAAGTGAAAATATTCTTATGTGTTTTACATGTCGGAATTATCAGTCAAATGAAGTAAAAATTAAATTAAAACTTAAGAGATTAAAACATATGTTCACACAAAAACTGTACAAAAATATTCATAGCAGCTTTATTTGTAACAGCTCAAATCTGGAAATGCCCCAGAGGTCATTCCACAGATGAATGGTTAAACAAGCTGTGGTACATCCATACCATGCAATGCTATACAGCAATAAAAAGCAACAGACTGTAGATACGTTCAACAACTTGAATGGACCTTCAAATAAATATGTTGAGTGAAAAAAAAAGGCATCCCCAAATGGTATCATATTGTTTGATTCTATTTATGTGACATTTTGAAATGATGAAATGTTAGAAATGAACAGACTGGGGTTAGGGACAGCAGGGGTTGAGGGGAAGATTGCAAAGGGATACTTGTGGAAATGGAGCTCTCCAGTATCTTTACAATGATGGTAGACACCTGAACCTACACACATGATAAAATTGTATGGAGCTAAATGTACATACACACACCTACGCACATACAATATTAGTAAAACTGGGAGAGTTGAATAAGATTGGTGGATGGTATCAATGTCAATATCCTGGTTATGATATTGTAAAATAATTTTGCAAAATGTTACCATTAGGGGAAATGAATTAAAGGATAGATGGGATCTCTGTTTTACTTCTTACAATTGCATGTGAATCCATAATCTTAATACAATTTCAATAAAAATAAAATTCTTAAAAAGTAATTGCTATTATTGCAAGAGTAAAATGAAATAAAAAATGACTTAAAAGCTATTAATTTTATGTACAAAACAATTCATACTCTAAAATAGCTATGGAGGAATAGCTACTCACTCTAAAATAGCTATGGAGAAATAGATTGGCATAACAACTGCTAAGAGACTATGTATGCTAAATAATTTAAAGATAATGGTGCTGTGGTCTGAATGTGTCCCCCAAATTTCATATGTTGGAAACTTAATTCCCAGTGTGACAGTATTGAAAGGTAGGGCCTTTGAGAAGTGATTAATTCATTTGCGGATTAATTTATTCATCGTTAAATGAGTTAACGGATTAATGCATTATTATGAGAAGGGAACATTTGTGTGTGTTTTTGTACATTTAGCTCTATACAATTGATATGATTTGGATCTGTGTCCCCAGTCAAATCTCATCTCCACCTGTAATCCCCATGTGTGGAGGGAGGGACCTAGTGGGAGGTGATTGGATCATGTGGGCCATCTCCCCCATGCTGAGTTCTCACAAGATCTGATGGTTTTGTAAGTGGCAGTTTTCCCTACTCTCCCCTCTCTTTCCTGCCACCTTGTGAAGACGGTAGTTGCTTCTTTTTTGCATTCTGCCATAATTGTAAATTTTCTGAGCCTTCCCCAGCCATGCAGAACTATGAATCAATTAAACCTCCTTCCTTTATAAATTACCCAGTGCCGGGCAGTTCTTTATAGCAGTGTGCAAACGGACTAGCACAACAATTTTCTAACATGTGTAAGTTCATGTCCCTATAACTACTATGACGATACTAAATATTTCCATTACCACAAGGATCCCTTTACAATTTCTCTCCCCTCAACCCCTATTATCCCTAACTCCTGGCTTTATAAGAAGAGAGGTAGCTCATTCCTGTAATCCTAGCATTTTGAGAGGCCGAGGCAGGCAGATGGCTTGAGCTCAGGAGTTTGAGACCAGCCTGGGCAACACAGCGAAACCCCATCTCTACAAAAACTTAAAAAAAAAAAAATTGGCCTGATGTGGTGGCACGTGCCTGTAGTCCCAGCTAATTGGAGGGCTGAATTGGGAGGACTGCTTGAGCCCAAGAGTTTGAGACTGCAGTAAGCGGAGATTGTGCCACTGCACTCCAGCCTGGGTGACAAGGTGAGACCCTACCTCAAAAACAAACAAACAAACAAAAAATGAAGAAGAGACTCGAGCTAGCATGTGAGCATGTGCAGACCCCTCACCACTTAATAGCCTGGGCTGCCTCGGGACTCCGCAGAGATTCCCTACCAGCGAGAAGGCCCTAACCAGCTGTGTCAGCTCAACTTTGGACTTCTCAGTCTCCAGAGTGGTAAGAAATAAATTCTAATTCTTGAATAAATTATCCAGTTTCAGATATTCTGTTATAAGCAACAGAAAGCAAACTGATATTCCTACAAATGCCTTTGTAATTGATACAACACTATTTGTAAAAAATAATGAAACAATGCAAAAATAGAGATTAGATAATGCAAATATTTGCATAATTGTTCTACTATTAGACCATAATAATAAGTGAAATAATCTATACGAATGATAAATTATATTTAATTTTAAAAATTAAATTTAGACTATATATTGATTGAAAGAAGAAAAATGTAATTCCAAAATTGCTCGTGATAACATCCATTATCAAACTTTTACAATCCAGACCTAATAAAGAATAAAAGAAATAAGAAAATGTTTAAGAAAAATAGGGCATCTTCAATACATGTTTTGTAATTGACATCATTTGAAAGTGAACTTGTATTTAGTATCAAAAATATTCATTAAAGTGACCACAAAATACAGACATCAGTTAAAAGTACTGTGAGGTAATATTTCAACTCTGCACCATCAAATTTGACTACTGAAAGTTTAAAAATAAATTGGTGATAAAAATATAAGGCTTTTAAATAAAATTACAGATTTAATTTTGTTACTGAAGTTTATTAGATGTAAGTATTTAGCAATTGTGAAGGTGAACACTTTAGTCATTTTAGGAAGACTGTTAGATCTTGACTACAGTCTGCCTTCATTAGTTCAGAGATGACTAAAGACTACAACAATGATTTTCCCAGGGTTTATCATAGTGTAAGGTATGTTACATGTCATTGCTTCTCAATCTATATACTGTGAATGCAATTCACATGAGAATTTTGTTAAAATGAAAATTCTGATTCAGTGTGTCTGGGATGGAGCCCGGGATTTTGTATTTCTAACGAGTTTCGTGGGAATGCCAAATGCAAATGTCTGGGTGCACACTTTGAGTTGCAATGTTGTAGAAAATACAAGTTCTAAGCAGACATTTTTCCCTTAAGATTCTTATACTCTTACTGGAGAGGTAAGGCATAAAAACACAAAATAATGTTTTATTAGAACTGAATATCTCAGTAATTTAATTTGTATGGAAACATATTGAGAGGGAGGGAAGTAAAGTAGAATTGGGATTCTCAGTTCTATTGCCCCAGGTTTCCTTTACACATACTGCTTTTTTGTGTTGCTTTACCAGGGCTTATGCCAATCAAAGCCAAAGGAAATAAGCTCAATTAACATGATTACAGGTTAATTAATTTTGGGATTTTAAGGAAAAGACAGGGAAACAGAAACAGTAAGAAAGTGAATTTTAATTATGCCAACATTAAGAAACTTAGGAAAATTACGAAGACAGTTTTCAAAAAAGAAGAGTATGAGAGACAAACTAATTAGATGGAGCAAAATATTCTTTAAGACATATATGTAAGAAAAAGCTACACTAATGAATAAGAAAATAATAAATATAATAAGAAATCAACTGAACTAAGTTAAAAATGAACTCTATTAAAGCCTGAAACTTAAACAGGGAACTTAGGCTTCTAGGGATAAATACCAAAAATAAAATAAAATAAAATAAAATAAAATTCCTATTATTTGGCAAAAAGCCTGAGAAAGAATTAAAGTCAATTTAAATGCAACTTGTGATAATACAGAGCAAGAAAACAATGAAACTCAGAGGAGAGAAGACAAATAACAGAACTCAAGAAAAGTAGAAGATGAAAAAAGCCAATTACAGAACAACAAAGCAGCTATCTTTCTATAACTAATAATCTAAAGTCAAAAAATTTAGATGATGCAAGCCAAATATTATTTGCTTACTTTTTGAACAATAAATTATTTTGTTGAACACATTGCAAATGTATTTACTTTGTGATAAATTATTTGATTTTATGAAGTATCAAATTATTTTACTATTATACAGCATAATTTGTAAATAATAATGATTCAATGCCAAATTTTAAAAAATAAAATGGCTACAATTAAGAATTATTTTAGATTACCTTAAACAAGGAATATAAATGATTGAAACCTTCACTAAAAGTAACAACTTAGAAATAATTCTAAATTCTAGGTTGTATAAATAAAAATACATGTGCTTGGGCAGGTGCAGTGGCTCACACCTGTAATCCCAGCACTTTGGGAGGCCGAGGCTGGAGGACCAACTGAGGTCAGGAGTTCGAGACCAGCCTGGCCAACAAGGTGAAACCCCATCTCTACTAAAAATACAAAAATTGGCCAGGCCTGGTGGTAGGTACCTGTAATCCCAGCTACTCGGGAGGCTGAGGCAGGAGAATTGCTTGAACCAGGGAGGCGGAGGTTGCAGTGAGATGAGATCATACCACTGCACTCCAGCCTGTGTGACAGAGTGAGACTCTGAAAAAAAAAAAGTGCTTGAAAGAAATGTATGTATTATACTCTTAGAGAATAAAAAACAGAAACAAAAACAAAGCAAAACAAAAAACAAACAGAAATAAGCCAGTCCCACATAATCCTGGTAAAATAAGACCCACATTTCGAAGCAGGTAGTGTGCCAGAATGATGATTGAAAGACTAAGAAGTACACACTTATATGCAAATAGAAAACAGAAATTTTTAAAATTGCTATAAAGACTTAAGAAATTGAACCCCAAATTGCCATAGTTATATGGAAAAAATAAATTTGTATAGGTTAGGAGATAGCAAATCAAGACTGTAATTTCAGAATAAAATAATGTGTAAGGAACAGAAAGATATCACCATAAAATGGGTGCAAATTGACAAATTTAAATAATTTCCTAATAGTAGGAGCATGTAGATAGAGACAGGTAGTAGGTTGGTATACAGGCAGAGAGATGAATACCTAGATGCCATACAGAAAGATTACATCATACCAAATCATAAACCCACTTACATTGCATGACAGTGTTATGAAACACTGTTGAGGCCCTGCAGACACTTCATTGACACTCACTAGTCTAATACTTGTTAATGACTTTCAACTGTAAGCATCCGCGACTCTCCCTGTGAAGGCTTTCTTTAGGCCCATATATATGGGGCAGGCTGGTAGTGCCAGTGCAATAACCTTCATGGGAGCAGCCCTCTGCCAATGGTCGATGGTTGGGAGGATAAATACCCATTTCCTGGTCCCATAGATGAGAAAGCTGTGAGCTACATTGTACAACAGTCTTCCTGAGTTCCCTCAGCAAAGATGAGATTCACTTTCAAACAGTGGTAATCGGACTTTCCCTTTCCTCACTTACTGATTTTCCTACCAGTGAATCCTGGAACCACCTCCCAGAGTGATTTATCTGTGGTTAAATTACTGTCTCAGTGCCTTCTGGAGGAATACAACCTATGACATAGTGACAGCCTATATTCAAATCTTCCTTAACAATGGATCTTACCTCTTTTCTTCTTCATCTGTTGACAATTTGATGAGGAAAATATGACATGTCATGGGCATTTTGTATACATCTTTATAATTACTAACGAAGTTCACATGTTTTCTTGCTTGTTCATTTCAAATATGTCTTTTTATTAATTGCATTAGTCCATTTTTGGGAAATAATTCATTTATTCCTATTGATTTGAAAGATCACTGTATATTAAGAAAATAATTGTTTATTATAGCATAAATTTCAAAATGCTTTTAGTATTTGCTTGACATATATACATTTATATATCATGCATTTTTCATTTTGGACAGTCATTTCAGTCAAATAATTAAATGATTTCTGTTTTTTGTCTCCAACAAAGAAAGACCTTTGTGACCGATGATTTGATAGGAAAAAGAAAGTCATAATGGCTTAGTACATGACTTAGCTATAAATGGCACTATTTAATCATAATAGTAGTCGAAATACTAGATTTCAGTCTAACCAAAATTATCATAAAACTCTGTTAGGAAAGTGAAGAGATGAAAAGGGTGGGAATGTGCAGAAAAAAAGATTAAGAAAAAGAGGTTGGTTCCTATTTCCCTACTAGGAATTCAAAAATATACTTAAAACTGAAAAAACGAATTATATTTTATAGAAATGGGGAGATAATCAGCAAATACAAGCAATACTGGTTGTCTCTGCTGTTTCATTTTGTTTAACCGACCTTGCATAATGATTACACTTTTAAAATTATATACACGTCTAATTCTGATGTAAATAAAATATAAAAACAAATATGAAACTTTCAGGTTGTATGTATTTAATTCATAATCATTTACTTTACTGTATTCTTTTGATACAGCGTTTTTCTTGCTGATTTTCTTTGCAAATAATTAAAATTTTGTTTTCTTGTTTTGGCTAATTATATTTAAATTCATTTTACCTAATGGCTTATGTCTAGAAATGATAACAATTGGCAATCTTATACTTTGTCTGCTTTTAAAGGAAATGTTCCTATTGTTTCCTTATTAAACATAGCAAAAATCTTTCTAACCCTATTTCACTAATGACTTTTGTCAGAACTGGTTTTAAACATTATTAAGTGCCTTTTTGGCAGGAAAATTAGATCATGCAGCAGACAGCTTTCTCATTTAAGCTGTTAATATAGTGAATTTCAATACTTTCTTCACTAATATTAAGGCACTATATAATAGGATGGTGGAGATGGGATCAGATGCAGTTTATTTGGATATTTTGCTTGAATTTGTTACTAAATTTTTTATAATTAAATTTTTTGCTATCTTTTATACTATTTTTATGTTAAAATGGCATAGCCTTTTTATTTACTTATTTATTTATTTACTTACTTACTTATTTACTTATTTTGAGAGAGAGTCTCGGTCTATTGCCCAGGCTGGAGTGCAGTGGCACGATATTGGCTCACTGCAACCTCCACCTCCCAGGCTCAAACCATTCTCCTGCCTCAGCCTCCGGAGTAGCTGGGATGACAGTAAAATGGCACAGCCTTTTAAAGCAAGTGGAAAGTTTCTTTCATTTTTTATGTCTTAAAATTATTTATATAGTAGCAGAATTATTTATTTAAACATGTAAAACTCTCTGAAACTAGAAGATTTAATTATTTCACTTTTTTTTTGTTTGGGAGCTGATTAATATGGTGTATTAAATAGCTACACTTCTATTTAATTTCTTTGAAGTTTTTTTGGTGATTTTTGAAATCTATATTTTTTCTTAAAAATGGTCGGTCCAGTTTTTATTAGCTAGCTTATTATTATTAAAACCACTTAATTATCACTGTTTTTATTCCTTCACTCTCTGTGGTTGTTTACTTCGTAATTCCTAATTATGAGTATACATGTTCTCTCTAATTTTCTTGATCAATCTAAGAAGTTTTCCTCTTTCACTGTTTTTGAAGATTATCTTGTTAAGTTTATAATTTTTTTCTTTTTCTTGTTCTTGTTAAAAAAAGTTACAATATTATATTAATGTTTTCCTACTCTGTCGTAAATGGCATTTTTTCCCAAAATTTGTGAGTTATATTTCAGAATTTTACTTTGTGTTATAAAAAAAGTAAGATTAGGTTTCTAGTTCCTCATGAAAAGAGTTTGAAAGTTACTACTCCATTTTAAGAAGAAGCAAAAAGCTGAGTAGACAAAAATCAACAAGTTTTCTTGGGTTTGTAAGCAGGGAAAAATCACTGCTTCCTAGGCTAGGAAGACAAACAAATACAGGGAGTCCTGGCTTACTGGAGCAGGAAGCACAGCACGAATGAGTGCCAAGGTAGGAAAACCTGAACTGCAATTGACAGTTTGCTGGAGGCACAGGGTGGTCACATCTGAGAGTTAAAAACTCCACGGACATCCAGCTTTAGGGGGTCCCCTACAATATTATGAGATTTACCTCCAGAAGCTCAACAAAGTTCACACAGTAAATAATGAAGAAAAATCCCTCTTGCTTCCATCAAGCAGAAAGGAAAAGGATCCCTTTGGAAATACACCAAAGCATTCTGTTCTGAGCAAGGTCTGTCCTCAGGAGAAGCTGGTTGGACAGAGCCTTAACTGCTGGGGTATTATCCTAACTTACCTAGCAGAAGGGAAATACCCAACTTCAGCTCCATCTAGTCTTCCATGTGGCAGAAGGGAAATACTCAACTCCAATCATGCTAGTCATCCCGTCCTACTTAAGGAGGGGAAAAAGCCAAGATCCTTATGAAGTTTACCATCCAAAGACATAGGTTCACCAAAAAATCGAGTCCTAATCTTAGGACTATAGAGTGTTTTTCTTCCCACAACTTACCACCAAAAAACTAAAGGCCTATTTATAGCAGTTCCTGTTACCCAGTAGTACATCATGCCCTCTGGCTATTTGGAAAAAAATTAAAAGGCATATCAAAATACAAAAACACAACTTGAAAAGAGAGCCCAAACATCAAATCAGACATGGCCAGTATGTTGGAAATATCAGACCAGAAATTTAAAGCAGCTGTGATTAATGTACAAAGGGTTCTAAAGGATAAAGAAGACAGCCTGCAAGAACAGATGAGCAATGTAAGCACAGAGATGAAAATCCTAAGAAAGAATAAAAGTGAAATGCTAGACATCAAAAATGCCATAGCAGAAATGAAGTGAGCCTTTGATATTCATAGACTGGACACAGCTTAGGAAAAAATCTTTGAGCATGAGAATATATCATCAATAGAAACTTCTAAAATTGAAAAGCAAAGAAAACAGAGACATTAAAAAAAGATCAGAATATCCAAGGGCTGTGGGACAATTACAAAAGGTGTAACATATGCATCATGAAGAAGAAGAAGAAAAAGAGAGAATGGAAAAATATTTGAAATAGTAACTGAGAATATCCCCAAGTAAATGTCAGACTGTCAGATACCAAACCATATATTCAAGAAGCTCAGAGAACAACAAGCAGGATAAATTAAAAACAAAAAACCTACACCTAGGCATATAATTATTACATTATAGAAAATTGAAGCTAAAGAAAAGACTCTATAAGTCAGAGGGTAAAAAACCCTACCTATGATAAAACAAAGAATCACATCTAATTTCTCCTCAGAAACCATACAAGCAAGAGAATAGAGTGACATATTTAGTGTTGAGAGAAAATAAAATGTAAAATTTTGTACCCTGCTAAATTATCCTACAAAACTAAAGGAAGAATAAAGACTTTCTCAAACAAACAAAAATGAAAAAAAAAATTGTCCATTGACCTTCCTTACAGGAGGTGTTAAAAGAAATTATTCAGATAAAAGGAAAATTATATAGATCAGAAATGCAGTCTCTACACAGAAAGGAAAAGTACCAAAGAAGAAATAAGTAAAAGTAAAAAAAAATTTTATTTTTCTAATTCTTAGTTGACTTAATAGATAATTATTTTTTAAAATAATAATAACAACTATGTATTGAACTATGTATACTTATCTGTACATATATAATGTATATACATATGCCTATTTTTGTTTATATATAAGTAAAATGAATGACAGTAATTATATAAGGAATGAAAGGGAGAAATTAAGATTATTCTGTTATTATAAAATACCCATACTATCATTGAAATGTTATAACAGTACTTGAAAGTTGACTTGGATTATTTTAAGTGTATACTGCAAGCTCTGGGGCAAAGAGTCAAAAGTTGAAAAGGAAGTATAACTGTTATTATAAGAAAGAAGAAAAAAGTGAATTATATAAAATGTTTAGTTAAAGCCAAAACAGGCAGAAAAAGAGTAAAAAGCAAAAATGTGAAAAAAACACAAGGGCAACAAATAGAAAATATCAACAAATATGGTAGATAGTAATCCAATAATTATTCTACCAATAATCACTTTGAAGTCAAAGGTCTGTACTGATTAAAAAAGCTTGTCAGAATGGATCAAAAAACAAGAGCCAAATATATGTTATCCACAGGAAAGCCACTTTAAATATTATGACATGTATCGATTAAAAGTAATAAATGTGAAGGAAGAAATAAAACATTCTTTGTTCATATATGACATTATTTTCAATGTAGAAAATCCAAATGAATCAACAAAAACACTTACAGAACTTATAAGTGATTATAGTAAGGTTGCTGGATACAAGGTTAATATACAAGGTTATAATAAAAAAGTGGAATTTGAAATTAAAAATACAATACTATTTATATTAGCAGCCCAGAAGAGAAAATATTTAGATATAAATCTTACAAAATATGTATCAATTCTATAGGAGAAAAAATACAAAACTCTGAAGAATGAAAGCAAAGAACAATTAAATAAATTGACAGAAATTCCTTGTATTTATTGTTCATGATAGGAAGACAATATTGTCAAGAAGTCAGTTTCTCTCAACTTGGTCTATAGATTCAATGCAATCTCAGTGAAAACCCCAGAAAGTTATTTTGTGGATATACACAACGACTCAAAAGTTTCTATGAAGAGGAAAATGACTCAGAAGTTTCTATGAAGAGGTAAAAGACCCAGAATAGCCAACACAATATTGAAGGAGAAGAACACAGTTGGAGGACTGATGCAACTCAACTTCAAGATTATAAAGCTGCAGTACTTAAGAAGTGTGGTATTAGTGAAGGAAAAAATGAGTAAATCTATGAAATAGAATACAGATACCAGAAATAGACCCATATAAATATAGTCAACTGATCTTTGAAAAAGGAGCAAAGACAATTCAGTGAAACAAAAATAGTCTTTTAAACAAACAGTGCTTGGATAATTGGATATCCACATGTAAGAAAAAAAATGAATGTAGACACAAACCTTACACCTATCACAAAAATTCACTCAAAAATGGATCATAGACCTAAATATAAAATGGAAATCTATAAAACTCCTAGAAAATAACACAGGATAAAACTGAGATGGTCTTGGGTATGGCAATGATTATTTAGATACAATACCAAAGGAATGATCCATGAAAGAAATAATTGATAAGCTACATTAAGATTAAAAACTTCTGCTTTGTGAAAAACAATGTGAAGAGAATGAGAAGACAAGCCACAGACTGGGAAAAAATATTTGCAAAAGACACATCTAATAAAGAACTGTTATCCAAAATCTATAAAGAACACTTAAAACTCAACAATAAGAAAACAAGCAATCCAATTTCAAAATGGGCCAAAAATCTTACTATGCACCTCACCAAAGAAGATACAGAGCTGTCAAATAAGCATATAAAGAATTCTTCATATGATACGTTATAAAGCCCATAGAAATTAAAACAAGATGCTACTACACACCTAATCGAATGGCCAAAATTCAGAACAATGGCAACACCAAATGCTGTCAAGTACGTAGAGCAACAGGAACTCTCATTTATTGGTAATGGAAATGAAAAATGGTACGTACAGCCACTTTGGAAAACAGTTTGGTGATTGCTTACAAAACTAAACATACTCTTATGATATGATCCAATAATCACACTCCTTGGTATTTACCCAAATGAGTTGAAAACTTATGTCCAGAAAAAAGGCCTGCACATGCATATTTATAGCAGCTTTAATCATAATTGCCAAAATTTGGAGCAACCAAGATATTCCTCAGTAGTTGAACGAATAAACTGTAGCACATTCCAACAACAGAACATTATTCAGCACTAAAAAGAAGTAAGCTGGGAAGACATGGAGAAACCTTAAGTACATATTATTACTAAGTGAAAAAAAGTCAATCTGAAAAGGCTATGTACTGTATGATTCCAACTATATGCTAGTCTGAAAAAGGCAATGCTAGAGGTTGAGGGTAGGGAGATATGAATAGGCCAAGCATACAGGATTTTGAAGGCTGTGAAAATTCTCTCTTTGATACTATAATAATGAATATATGTCATTACACATTTGTTCAAACCCATAGAATGTGCAGCCTACCAAGAGTGAACCCATGTAAACTATGGACGTTGGGTAATTATGATGCGTCAATGAAGGTTCTTCAACTGTCGTAAATGTACCACTCTGGTGGAAGATGTTGATAATGGGAGAGGCTATGCATGTGTGGAGACAAGGGGTATATGACAATTCTCTACCTTCCTCTTAATTTTGCTGTGAACCTAAAACTGCTCCAAATAGTCTTTTCTGAAGTCTCCAAGGTTATGACTTTTTTTCATATAATAATATTTAATGTCCTCATCACATTTATTTTCCAGGTTCAGTATTCAATCTAGGACTTTCTCATTTGTGGTTACTATATTTTGATTCTATTGTGGTCAATATCCTATTGTTTTGGTTTTGAAGCACATACAAGCCCACACATTGTATATGGCACAGTTTTGTAGGTACCCTCCATACACACACAAATGGGAGTGATACCCCTGGAATTGTTGGTGAAAAGTCCTGAGCTATTGTATAATTAAGGGCATCTTGCCGTTGGTGTTGTGTGTATTTTAACCATTTACAGAATTCTCAGAGTGCCCTCTTTCCTTTGAAAGTGTATATATTTTTCATTGCCTGCTAACTGCAGGAAGCCTGCATTTGTGTTTTTAAAATACATCCTTTGTATTAACCTGCTGCACAGGCCTGAATGCTCACAAAGAAATAATATTTTTGTCTTCAATTTCAAGCATTTTGCGAGGAAATGCTTTGGAATTGACCTTTTCAATATACAGTGATTTTCTTTCAATTAATGTTTCTTTCATTACATAAAATTATTTTATTATATTTTCAAAATTATGTCCATTTCAATATTTTAGATTTATTTTGCAACCCTAGGGATGTCTGTCTATTGGCTCTTTATCACTGAAATGGCCCTTTATCCTCTGCCATATCTGTTCTATTTTCTCTGTTGACTTTCATCTTTTTGATTGTGTCCCTGCATACCATTGATTTTTCTTGAGGCTGTGATCCAGTTCACAGACTTGTTGGTTGTTGTTTCTTTATTTGTTTGGGGTTTTTTTAATTTGCATGTCTGCTCTGCATCTTGCTGCATGTGAATGTTTTTCGTTGTTCAATATCTCTTTTCATAATTCCATCAAATCCCTTTTTATCTCATATTGTTGTTTTATCAATTTCTATTTCATTTAACCTGTTTGCATTAATTTTCTTGCAAGTGCAATTTATTTGAGAATAGTATTTTCAACTGCTTTCTAGGGTTAGTTTTCTGAGATGTTTTTCCTTGTGTTATATGTATGTTGCATTTCCTATACTTTGCTCTAAATGTATTCTTACCACGTATGTTGCTTTTTTTCTTTGATGATTACTTTCAAATGTGGAAAGTCCTATCCCACACTGGCCATTCTTTCAGAAAACAGTACGTGTGGAATATCTTTGAATACCTTTGGGATCTTCCCTGGGCATTTTGTTAGAGGAAACATTAATTCCTGCTTTCTCATCTTTTCAAGAGCAGACTTCTCAGCAGAGAGGAAATAGAGAAAGAAAATCTCCTGGGCCCTCTCTCCTCCTTCTTCAGTCAACCCAACCTTAATTAATACTAGGACAATTGACAGCCCTGGTCACTCCAAGGGAGATTAATGTGTTAGAAGTTTTGGGTTATACGGTGCCATGTGTGAGTCCTGCTTGGTTGTTAATGGTGACTGTTTTCTGTGCTGCTTCTTGTATAATGTAGGCTCACCAGGGCTGCTGTTTATCTGCACCTCTCAGCTGCTTTTCTGCAATATGGTGAATTAAACCAATTCAGCTAGTTAAGTAAAGCAGGCCATTTAGGTTCATGAGTCCAAGCTTGGTCTCCAATGCAGGAGAAAAAAATATATACTAGCTGAATTATCTCCTAGATGCTCGATTTATCATTTGGTTCAGAATTTGGAAGAACATATATTATGTTTCTTTTAAATTTTGAAACTCTTAATAGTATAGATTAACTTTTCTCTTTCATTGACTGAAAGAGATAGAAAGGGAGCTGGGGATACAAGAGGCTAAATTACAAAAGCTTATGGGAGTTCTCAACAAATATTTTTAAACTCCTGAATTCAAGGATAATTATTTTGGGTTGAGAATATGTTTGTTCTCTTCCATGAATAATGCGATATGGTTGTGAGGTGTCTCTGAGAATGTATTTGTTTTCACTTTTGGATTGGCCTTCACTTTAGTAATTAAGTGAGGAGGTGATACAACTAACAAAGAAATACTGATATCCTCAGGGAGAAATGTAGGTATAGTGTTTGTCAGTAACACTATGGTTATGGAACATGAGTCTCAAAGTAATGAATATAAGGCCTGAGACACTGATAAACTTTGTGATTCCTGTTCAGATAAAGTTGTAGGTCACAATTATGTAAACTATAAATATTAAGAAGGATAATAAATGTGGACTAGCAAAGTGTATAGGTGATAAAAAGAAATGAGATAGGATTATTGGAGCTGGTTAAATTAATCCAGACAATCTTTTCGGCAAAGACAAGTTTGGCATAGGAATTTTAGGGAAGAGTGGCTATAACTGCCACAGGGATGGGTTAAAAAATCTGAAGGAAAGAAAATGTCTGAGAACAGAATAACACATTCAATCCTTGTTTGTGGAATAATAGAGGTTAAAATACAAGGAGCTTATATGCAGCTTACATAAATGTTTGTTGAATTGATAAGCAGCCTTAATCTGCTCTCTCTGCAGAGACTAAATAATAAATTGTTAAAATTTGCTGTGATAAATTTGCATCAAAATAATTAAAATGGTATATGTTAAATTCTTATATATAGATTATGTTTTATAAGGTGCTAAATAGGGGTGTAAAATTCAACATTCATAAGGAGATACTTGACATCTGATGGATCTATTTTCAAATGAGAATGCATAGATGTCTTGGCAAACGTATCGGAAGCAGGTGTCCAGAGACAGGTTATAGTTGAGAGTTTCAAGTGAGGGAGAGGAGTATGATTTTATAGCACTCCTTCTCTACTCTAAATGTTGGTAAATAAAACTTTCCAAGGAACCATGAAACATTCATGTCATCAATAAGAATAAAGGCAGTTCTGAGGTTTTGAGGTTTGGATAACATAACTTAGATTCCCCAAGTCTTTGGCTCAAGAGCTCTTGATATTATCAAGTCCACTGATTGTTTTAACAAATTTGTCATATCTTAGAATCCAA